>NC_000003.12:169008604-169160119 GCF_000001405.40 Homo sapiens
GGTCAACTCAAAAGAGTGTCCAACTTCTGAACTTTCTCTAACATGAGTAAAATAATTGTTTTATTATTTAAGCTAGTGTAACTTTGGGTTTCAGAAAATCAAAAGTATACTAAGACAATACTCAAAGAAAAGGAGAGTAAAGAAGCAACAAACAAATTTTTACTCAAATTACAATTTTTTCCTGGAGCCCTCCATGATTATTAACAATTCAACATAAGCTATTCAAATGTAGGAGTTAAGATAAACAGCAATAGTCACAGATCAAAGAGATAAACAAACAAAAAAATTACATCCTCATACAGTTGCAAACAGGAGTCCCAGGTCGCTCTAGCGGTAGTTCTATGCTTATTTCCTGCTATTGCTGTTGCTATTGCTATTGTTGAAGCCTTGGGTTTCTTCTACAGTAATAGCTGAGGTTTACTGAGCTTTATTGTATGTCAAGTAATTTGCTGTCTAATGAACTCAGAATGGTCTCTTTGCATCACCAATTGTTGAAACAACTTGTCACTTAATTTTGTTTATTTCTACTTGGCTACCTAAGAACAAAGAGATAATCATTTCTTAGCCCTCTTATAGACTAACAGTCACTCAGGTGATTGTCTTAGCTCACCATTGAAGGGTTTTTCTTACATCATCATTTGACTCATCCAGTTAATGGATAATACTCTTGTGCTTTGACCATTTCTAGGCTAATTATAATCTTTCTCTTCATAGGTGGCCAATTGCTTTTTACTGTTAAAATATACAATATTTATTTTTTGTTTCTTATTCTATAACAAAGTATTTCAATAAGTTTATTCTTAAAAAAAGAAAGACAACTTAGAGCAGTCAAAAATCAGGTGGCCTGAGTTTAAAACTTGATCCTCACAAGATCATGGGCAAATAACAACTCTCTGTGGATTAATTTTCTTATTTGCAAAATGAGGAATAAATAGAATCTATCTTAGAGGATTACTAGGATACCATGGACAAATACATGTGAAGCACATAGAATGTCTCACACATAATAATGCAGAACAATCCTTAGTTATTCATTTACTCATTCATACATTCAATAAATAATTCATTGAGATGTTAATATGAGTAAGGTTATATCCTGGGCCTTATGCAAATACAAAAATCAAAAGGCACTGATTTTTTCTGCCTTCAATTATTCAACTGTCTAGTCTTGGACATAATTCACAAACAAAAATATCAACATTGTCACATAGTATTCAAACAGGACCACATAAGTGTATTAGGTATGAAAGAGGAAAAAGACAGAGGTGTCTTTTAATACTAAAATGTTAGTATTATTTTTCTCTTATATTCATGAAATTTGTTTAGTGTAGTGATTTAGTGTTTTTCTGCTGCTACGTTCTTTTCTCAAAGCTTGCTCACCTGTTGCCTGTTTTCCTGTTAATCTACTGTGCTAATGTAGCACGGTGTATTGCAGTAGCAAGCAAGGATACTAAAGAAAGTGTCAAAAGATAGAAAACATATTGCGACCTTCTTCCTAATCACTAACTGAATGATACAACTGACCAATCTTCCTTTGTGACACATAGTAGAGTATAAACAATTTACTAAGTCTGAAAGATCAAAGATCATATCCTATTGAGCTTTGAATCTTCAACATCTAATAAAATGTCCCTGATTTTCAAGACCTGACTAGTTAGAATATCACTTTCTCCTGGCCACAGTGATTGGTTCAGGAAAGGGAAAATCACCCACACAAGACTCAGACATTTTCTGCCAGAATAATTATTTAAAAAGATTCCTTCTGTCTACTCATTTTGCCAAGCTTTTGAAATAAAAGTCTGGAGTTGCCAACAACCATCTTGCCACCACCTGGAGGAAGTCTGAGAAGGAAGAAAGAGAACTAAACATATGAGAGAAAGGGAGACTACTGACAACCTTGGACCTCTGGATTCAATGGGCCTTGACCCACCACTTAGCCTTTTCAGCTAGTGAACAGATAGATTCCCTCTTCACTTAAAATCAGTTTAGATTGGCCGGGCGCGGTGGCTCATACCTGTAATCCCAGCATTTTTGGAGGCCGAGGCAGGTAGAGCACGAGGTCAGGAGATTGAGACCCCCGTGGCTAACATGGTGAAACCTCGTCTCTACTAAAAATACAAAAATTAGCTGGGCATGGAGGCGCGTGCCTGTAATCCCAGCTACTCAGGAGACTGAGGCAGGAGAGTCGCTTGAACCAGGGAGTCGGAGGTTGCACTGAGCGGAGATTGTGCTGCTGTACTACAGCCTGGTGACAGAGCAACACTCTGTCTCAAAAAAAAAAAAAAAAAAAAAAAATCAGTTTAGATTGAGATGCTCATAACAAGACTCAGAATTACATATTGTTATTATTATTAACCGGACTTTGATTATTAAATACCTTGAGGTAGTCTTTGGGTTAAATCTGCTTGATGTTCTATAACTTTTTTGTACTTAAATGTTGATATCTTTCTTTAGGTTTGGGAAGTTTTCTGACAGTATCCCTTTGAATAAACTCTCTACCCCATCTCTCTCTCTCTTTCTACTTCCTATTTAAGGCCAATAACTCTTAAATTTGCCCTTTAGTATGCAATGGGCATACTCAAGAATGCATCAGAGTCTTTTAATAGCACAGTGGATCAAGCAGAAGAAAGAATTAGTGAGCTTGAAGACAGGCTATCTGAAAATACACAGTCAGAGGAGATAAAAAGAAAAAAGAAGAAAAAACAATGAAGCCTGCCTAACAGGTTCTAAAAAATAGCCTCAACCGGGCAAATCTAAGAGTTATTGGCCTCAAAGAGGAGGCAGGGAATGAGACTGGGGTAGAAAGTTTAATTAAAGGGATAATAACAGAGAATTTTCGAAACATAGAGAAAGATGTCAATATCCAAGTACAAGAAGATTATAGAACACCAAGCAGATTTAACCAAATACTTACTCATTAGAGAAATGCAAATTAAAACTACAATGAAATACCATATATGGAAATGGCTAAATCTTAAATACTTGATAAAATCAGGTATTGAAAGGATGCGGAACATTTTTACATTTTTACATTAATGATGGGAATGTAAAATATACATCCACAATGGAAAACAGGCTGGCAGTTTCTTATGAAGTAAGAACCATAAAACCCAGCAATCTTATATTTACATATTTACCCAAGAGAAATCAAAATATATGTTCACACAGAGAATTGTTCTTAAAAGTTTACAGCAACCTTATACATAATAGTCAAGCAACCCAAATGTTCATTCTCTGCTGAATGGATAAACAAATTTTGGTGTGTCCATATAAAAAAATACTACTGAGCAGTAAAAGTAGTACCACATTTTCTTTATCCTGTCCACCACTGAAGGACATCTACATTGATTCCATGTCTTGGCTACTGTGAATAGTGCTGCAATTAACATAAGCGTGCATGTATCTTTGTATTAGAATGGTTTATATTCATTTGTGTATATACCCAGTAATGGGATTGCTGGGTCAAATGGTATTTCTTCAACGGCTAGTTTTTCGATCCTCACCCTCCTCCCACCCTACACCCTCAAGTAGGTCCTGATTACTATTATTCCCTTCCTTGTATCCACATATACTCAATGTTCAGCTCCCACTTATAAGTGCTGTCATGGACATAGATGTGCATGTGTCTTTAAGGTAGAATGATTTATACTCCTTTGGGTATATACCCAGTAATGGATTGCTGGCTTGAATGGTAGTTCTGTTTTAAGCTCTTTGAGAAGTCTCCAGATACCTTACACAGTGGCTGAACATTCCTGCCAGTAGTGTATAAGTATTCTTCTTATTCCACAACCTCACTGGTGTCTGTTAATTTTTGACTTTTTCATAATAACCATTCTGATCCTTGTGAGATGGTATTTCATATGTATTTCTCTAAAGATTAGTGATGCTGAGCATTTTTTCATATGTTTGTTGGCCACATGTATGTCTTCTTTGGAAAAGTGCCTGTTCACATCCTTTGCCTCCTTTTTTTTTAATGTAGTTATTTGCTTTTGCCTGGTAGTTTGTTTAAGTTCCTTATGGATTCTGGATATTAGACCTTTGTGAGATGCATACTTTGACAATATTTTCTCCAATTCTGTAGGTTGTCTGTTTACTCTGTATATGAAATTTTATAAAAGGCAAAAATATAGTGATGAAGCAGATCCGTGGTGGTCAGGGGCTAGGAGTGGGAGTAGTGTGATAGTGAAGAACCACAGGGGAACTTTTAGAAATGACAGAAATGTTCTATACCAGGATTGAGGTGAGAGTTACACAACTCTATACATTTGGCAAAATCATTAAATTGTACACTCAAATTTGGTGAATTTAGTGGTATATAAATTATATTTCAACAAACTAATTGAGAAAATATATATTTAGTCACTCTTACATATAACACATATACTAAGATTTGGAGAGGGAAGACTATTTTTTAATATAAGACCTATAATTTTCTGGCTTCCTACTGCACTTAGTTTTTCATTCTCTTTTGTAATGTTTCTTTTTCCATCTATATATATAATTGCCCTCTGCACATTCTGTATAATGCCTCAGAAATTGTTTCAAATCAACTTAGCCAGTGCCAAATCATCATACTTTCTCAACATATTGTGCTTGCTTTTTTTTTTTTTTTTTTTTTTTCATCTCACCACCATGCACCAAAGCCAGAACTTTCGGCTTCCCCCTGGAGTCCAGTATTTCCTAAGCAATCCTCAGCCAACTCAGACTTGTCTTCTTTTACCTTTGAAATCTCCCTGCTTCTCTCTATCTGCACTGCCTCCACTCATTGCACACCACATGATTTCCCACTTGGAGAATTGCAGCAACCTCCTCAGTGGTCTCTCTACCCCAATCTCTGTGATCTCTAATTCAAAATCTGATCTGTCACTTGCCTTGCCAGCACTGCCTGTAGGATTAGGTTCTAATTGCTCTTCATGGCTGATAGGGCCACTCACCATCTGCCCTACTTACCTGTGCAATCATATCTCTGCACTCTTCTGCCATGGAAAACTGCCTTCAGTTCTCTGAATGTGGCATATGTCCTTCTACTTCCAGGACTGATGGAAATTTTATTTTGCTGGAACATTCTCTTTTTATTTGAGATACCTCCCCTTTCCCAATCTCACAAATTTATCTTATTCATCCTGCAATTCTTAACCTAGACATCACTTCTTTTGGGCACCATTTGAATTTTCTTTTGCTTCCATGGCTCCTAGAACCTGTGTGATAGCATTTACCACAGTAAGATACTTTGGAAATATTTAAACCTATACCTCCTTCTAGGCAGACCATGAGCTCCACAAGGGCAAATAAACTTCCACACCCTTACTAGACCCCTAGAGCCCAGCATGGCACATTTTACGTACGAGACATACAACTAATAGGGGTTAAACAATTAAGTGACTCTACCTCCTCCTATCACTGTCAAAAACATGTAGGCTAATCATCTTAAAAATTAAATGTTGAACCATTTGCTTAGCTTTTGAGCATAAAGTCCAACTACTCTTTGTGGCAAGTCAGCCATTTGTAAAGGTCAATTTAAAAGTAACATTGGTTGCTCTTCCATTATAGTAAACTCTCTATTTCTTACATATTCCTCAATTTACAAAAACTTGTGGACATATGGTATTCATAAATCCTGTAATATGCAGCTGTGTCATACAAAGCTCAGAATAATCCATCATTGATTCATACCTCTGTCCATTGTTTTTTCCTCCTCATAAAGTGAGAGCAGAGTCTCAGTTTGCATTCAATATGTTTCTTCTGTTTAAAAATGAGTAGCAATTTATGTAAAAATTTTGTGCATTCAAAGCAAAATCACAAAGACTGGGAATACATCTTCTCCCTAATAAAGTTCATAGGCATTGTTGGAAACATACACTCTGTACCTCCACTAAAGCATTTTATTAAGTTCTGAAGGTGCTCAGTGAGAACCAATATTATCTATTTTGAGGAGTGGTGAGATGGGGATAGTCAAGATTAGTGATTTACCTGAGTACAAAGCAACATAACTTTCTTTGCTATATCATTATATGGTTTCAGTCCTGAAGATGGGCTTGTCACAGATACTGCCCTTAATATTTTGACCTATGATTGTTAAAGAAAGATTACTCTCTTTTCTTTCGATCAGCACTCATTAAAATAGCCTTTATGTCTGGTTGCAATAGAATATATATTTAATATTTAAAAGTTTATAGAGATACACACAGAAGTTAATATACTTCTGGAAAAATAAATGGAATTACTTGAGGCTGTAGGTTAATCAGCGTTTTCTGTGTGTGTGTTGTAAGAATGCATATATGTATCATTTATTCTAATTAGAAAATACATAAATAAAAAGAAAATTTTCAAATTAAAAATATGTTAAAGTAGAAAAAATGCTACAGATTACTGCTAATATTTTGTGTGCTTTCTTCTAGTAGATTTTCTATTTATATAATTGTAAAATTTTATATGTATGTATTTTACAACACTTTTACAATACTTGTTTAATACACTTTCTCATGGTTATGTTTAATTCATTCATTAACCATAACTTATTGATTTTACCATACTTCCACTGCTGAATGCATGAAACTCATATATTCATATATATATATTTAATTTCTTAATTTAATATATATGTACTTATTTAATTTCTTAGAGACAGGATCTCACTATGTTCTGCAGGCTGATTTCAAACTCCTGACCTCAAGCAACACTCTCATTCTGGCCTTCCAAAACGTTGGGATTACAGGCATGAGCCACCATGCTCAGCCTATTGCTGAATATTTTTATGTTACAAAGAAGAAAAAATGAGCATAAATCTTTTTTAATAGCTTAAAATGTTTTCTTAGAATATATTCCTTTAAGTGAGGGTGCTGACTCACATGTGTGAATATTCTTAAGGCTTTTGCTAAATATTATCCATATTGACCTTTAGAAAAGCTGCATTATTTTACATCTCTGAAAATAGTACATGACTGTCCTTATTTCCTACCACCCTTACCAATACTGAATATTACCTTTTTGTTTACTTGTGCGAATGTTATGCATGAAAAATCATTTATTATTGACATTTTAATATACTTCTTTGATAATTGTGATGCAAATGTTTTCTTATATTGTTCATAATTTGTATAAGTTGCCTATTTTCTTGTATCAATATTCCTTATTAATGTATCTTATTAATTTATAATAATTTTCATAAATAACAGTTGTTCTTTATTTTTACTTTATTTTAAAATTATTTTCACTAGTTTACCATAATTTATTTTTGATAATTTATGAGAATCATTTTTGTTTTTATGTACTTGAATTTATTAACAATTCTGTTTTTAATTGTTTGCTTTTCTACCAAGAAATGATGTATTTTCATCTGTACTTGTTTTATGACTTTAAAACTGTGTTCTTTATAACACTTTAATCCATCTGCAATTTTTAAATAAATATTATGAGGTAGGAAGAAAGCTTTATCTTTTCCAAATAATCAACAAATTATGCCATTCCCCTTCCCAATGATTAAACCATTCTTTCCTACTAATTAAGATGGATCCTTTATATCATATTAGTAAGCACATGTAGTTTCTGATTATCTAAGTCTGTTTATTCATCTGTCTTGCTTGACTTCTGTATGCAAAACAATACATTTGTGTTCATTCAAATATGGTATGAATTTCAGATTTGCTTCATGTGATATTCTCTGGCTATAAACAATTGGACTGAGGAAAATAATGAATGTGTTGCGAGTCTTTTTCTCAGTTTTCCATTTCCTTTCATTTATTTGTCTGTTTATATGGTGGTAGCACACCAGAGTCATTATGATAGCTTTAGTAACATATCTAGTTTTGAAAGCACCCCTCATTATTTTTTCTTTTATGACTTTTTTTCTTATTTTCACTTATTTATTCTTCTATAGGAGCTTTAGCATCTATTTTACTGGAATGGCTTTAAATCCATACATTTACCTGAAGAGACTGATACAGCATTGAGTTTATTTTTAGGTATAATTTTGTATCTTTTTTTTTTTTTTTTTTGAGACGGAGTCTCGCTCTGTCGCCCAGGCTGGAGTGCAGTGGCGCGATCTCGGCTCACTGCAAGCTCCACCTCCTGGGTTCACGCTAATTTTGTATCTTTTAAAAATGCATTTTATGTTTACTTTTTATTATTCTAAATTAATTATTATCAGTTATTACCTCAGCGAGGTTCTCTTTGAAACCTCCGAATAGGTCAGGACCCTTGTTGCATGAAAACGTCACTTGACTATTCCCATTAGGAAGAGAGGACCACCAAAGAAAAAATAAATAACAGAAAATACAGTGTGTGGAGCAGACTGGGTGTCAACTGTGATGAACTTGGGGAGGTGTCCTGTAGGATGCGGACAGTTGCTCTTCAGCTCCCCAAATTGTTGTCATTCAGGACTCTGTCATAGCTTCTGATTTCATAAAAGAAAAAACAGAAATCTGAATTTTTATATAAAATGAGCCTAGCGTTTCTAAAGACATATAACAAATTATAAGGGCAGGTAAGCAAAGTTGAGTGTAAGAAAGTAGTGAAATCCTAGTAAAAACAGGAAGTTTTGTGCTTACATTAATTTGTTTACTCCAAAATATTTATAGAGCATCTTCCTATGTCATATTCTGTGGAGAACAGTGATATATGTCTTAGTCAGTTCAGACTATAATGGAATACCATATACTATGTGACTTTAACAACAAACATTAATTTCTCATAGTTCTAGAGACTGGGAATTCCAAAATCAATACACCTGCAGATTCAGTCTGGTGAGGCCATTCTTCCTGGTTTGCAGACAGCCGTCTACTTGTTGTAACCTCATATGGTCAACAGTAAAATCTCTTTCCTGTCTCTTCATATAAGGGCACTAATTTCATTTATGAGGATTCAGATCTATGACTTAATTACCTCCCAAAGGCCCCACCTACCAATATCAACATATTGGGATTAGGATTTTAAAATATGAATTTGGGGGCAGGGAGAACACAAACATTCGATGAGATGTCTTTCTTTAAAAAGTTTAAAATAAAATAGATGAGTTTACTGTCTAGTTACAGAGTAGAGAATTAACTTTATTCAGAGAAAATTCTGACCTTTCCTCCCAATATTGGGAAGTGATCTCTAGGTCCTTGGAATATCATACCTGATATGAGTGTCTTTGCCTGTGGGTTTTAGCCAACAGACAGTCTAATAAGGCAATTTATGATAGATGCTTTGGGTCATGCAGCATCAGTTTTGCTTCCAGAAGAGACTGGAGACTACAGGTGTCAGTTCAACTTCTAGAAGGGGTTGAAAATGAAAAGCTCAACCACATGGCAGTATGTGATTAAACAGCAGTGAAAACTCTAGACACAAAAGGGTAGGGTGAGTTTTCCTGGTTGTGTATTGTCAAGATACTCCATGTGTATTGTCAAGAATCAATGCCAAGAAAGTAACAATGGAAGCTCCATGTTAGATACTTTTCCTGGAATCTGCCCTATGTGCTTCTTCTCTTAGTTGATTTTAATCTGTACCCTTTCTCTCTAACAAACTTTACCTATGAATATAAGAGTGTTCAGTGAGTCATGTGACATTTCTAGCAAATTATCAAACTTGAGAATGTTCTCTTATGAGGACTGTTCCTGCCAAAGTTTTGCAGTTGGCTTTAACTCTTACACTGGCCATTTGTGTTGAAGTCCTAAATTACATGACCCTTAACATAAACACCCACCCCCACCCCACACACACACACACTGAAAACTTATCAAATAGAGCTTTTCAGTTCTCAGTGACATTCAAAGAAAAGCAATTAAAAAATTGGAGCACCACTTAGAGCAGTGTTTGTAAATGGCAATAGAGAAAGTGAGTCTCTGAAAGCAAAATTTTTTCCAGGCTGAAAAAATATAGAACAATAATTGAATTGATTAGAGTTAAATCAAAATTACAATTATGATTCTAAAAGAACACCTAGTGCTATGGTTTGAATGTCCCCTTTGAATCTTATGTGGAAATTTAATTGCCAAAGAAGTGGTATTGGGAGGTGGGGCATTTAAAAGGTAAACAAGCCATGAAGGCTCCACTGTCATGAATGGACTAATGTTGTTATTGTATAAGTGGGATAGTTATCTTGAGAGTGGGCTCCTGATAAAAAGAATGAGTTTGGCCTGATTTTCCTCTCTGTCTAGCACTCTCCCTTGCCCTTCTGCCACGTTATGATGCAGCAAGAAGGCCCTTGCCAGGTGCCAGCAACATACTCTTGGACTTCCCAGCCTTCAGGACAACTAACCAAATAAACGTCTATTCTTTATAAATTATCCAGTCTGTGGTATTCTGTTATAGCAACAGAAAATAGACTAAGATACCTATTCTAAATATCTTAAAAGTTCAGCTCAATGTACTAAAGGTGTTTATGATTGAAATGACAGAACCACATAAAAAATGCAAACATCTAGTTTCAAAAAATGGTAAGACAAAGGATTTTGTAATTGGTATATATATATATATATATATATATATATAAAACGTGTGTGTTTATAAAACTAGATTGAGCTTTGATTTATAGTGAGCAAAGTTTTCTACTGATTCATGAGAAGGGCACTAGGCTATAGCTTGGGTTCACTGATAATCTAATTCCGAATATAAACATTCCTCTGTTTGACAGCTATCTTCTGTAGTTATCAAAAAATAAAATCTTGGGCTGGTGTGAGAAAAATTGGATTCTACTCCAAGTGACTCAGATAATATCTGATGTACATTAGTTCAAAAAAGATGAAATGGATGATATTGAAAAGATGATTAAGAAAGATGAAGTAAAATGAGTAGACATTTTTAACCTAGATAAAAGAAGATTTGGAGAACAAGACAGTATCCTTCAAATATTTGAATAGTCATTATATAGAAACACACATACTACCACCTGTTTGGCAATGATAGGTAGAAACAGTTCCAGTGTGCAATGATCTCAATGTAAGCAGAACCTTCTAATAATCATAGCTGCCCAAGAGTGGAATGAGCAAATGAACATTCTCTATGGTAGGATGGGAAAGTGTTTGTCTAAACATATTATGAGACCTTTGTAGAGAGCACTCAAATATGGATAAGCGGTTTTAAATTAAACAATACTTAAATAAGTAATCTTTAAAGTGATTTTTTTTAAAAAGTCAAATTATCTTTAACTTACTATCAAGCCTTCAAATCCCATGTCTTCAGATATGCTTTCCTAGCCAAGAACAATTTAGGAGTGATAAATTAGAAGTAAGGGGAAGTACTTGCTGGAAATGATCTAGGATTTATAGAACTCCTAATATGTATTTTCCATACATTTTTAAATTTGTTCTTTAGAAAATCTACTTTGGAAGTTTACTGTTATGCCAGTTTTGGAAGAGGGAGGATAAGCTCAAATATTAAAATAACCTACCAAAGTTCAACTACTCACATTATGGCCAACCCACATCTCCTATCTCTATTGCCCATATTGTTTCTCAAACCACCTCTTTCTAGAGGCAGATACAAGGGCCACAGCAAGCTAATGAGGGAATGACAGAGAATCTTTGTAAATCAAACCCAATATCTTACAAAGCCCAGTTGTCTGGGGTCATTTAGTGTGGACACAGCCTCTCCTATTTCAAAAAGCTCCTGAAGGTGTCACTGAATTAGAAGAGTATAATGATGGAAATGCATCATAGCATAAAACCCTACATCATCAAGACAATATGAAGATGTCTAAGAAAAGAAAATGCTATGTCTAAAATCAGTGCTTTTGCCATATTTAAGAGAAAAAATTATTGTAAATACTTCCATTGCTTCAGAAAATCACACTGGCTAAGGTTCACATAAAACCCATTTCATCTGTCCTGCAATAGCTTAGTGTTCAGAAGTTTCCCTGAATCAGCTGTGGACAAAACAGATATGTGATAATGTCATCAGAATTCTTTGCTTTCATGTAACAGAAATCAGGTAGAACCAGGTTAGACAATAAAGGGAACTCATAAGAAGGCTACTTTTCTAATCTCAGGAAGGACAGAAGTAAAGCTATGACTCAGAGGTAAACAGATAAAAAATTTCAACTTCTTTCTTAGCATCTTTTGTCTGTCTATTCACCTTGGCCTCTCTTCATCATTTGTTCCTGCTGCAGACTGCCTCCCTGCATGTCACGGGTAACCTGCCTGCCAGCAGTACTTTAGCATCACAGTCTGTATCTCCCATCAGTCTAAATTTGAGGACTATTCCCTGTATTAATTCTGTCTGAAAATCATGGATAAGGACTCTGATTACCCAGTTCAAGTCAGGTGTCTAACCATGAGCCAATCAGTTGTGTCCATGAGAAAGAGTTCACACAGAACTAAACTGGCTCCTGAGGGACAAAACTGTATATTAGTGCCATGCCTATGCAAGGAAATTATCAGCCAGAGAGGCATCACAATGAATATTTATTAGATTTGCCCTCCAGTTGAATTATGCAAAAATGTTCAGGCTTATTATGAGGTACATTTTTGGGAAAATTCTATGAAAACATGTATATATTTTAACACAAAAAATTGGGGGACTTAAAGGAATGAGCTTCAATTATCTAGTGTATTTGCTTATTCAGGATATTTTGTGGTTTACTGGCATAGATAAAACATATATTCTAGTCAAAGTATTTCCCCCATAGTGTCTTACATTAGTAGAGCATTATGTTGTGAAACGGTAAATAAGTGGCCTAAAGAAACAAAGCACTTTCAGTTGTGATTTAAGTCCTAGGGGAAAACTGGGTCCATGATAGAGCAAGTTTTTCTAAGACATTGTTATAAAATTTTACAAGAAGTGTTTCATCTTCTAGCTCAATTGTTCTGAAGTTTATGAGTTGAGCTAAAAATGTGTACCATCATCCTCTTTTACTGAGGTAAAAGCCAAGAGTTACAGAGAGCAATATATGATAATGTATGTTAATTATTAGAAAAGGCTTAAAAATATATGTTCCAATGACATGGCTATGCTGACATAGTTCTCAGCTGGAATACCATTTATGTGAAAATTCAAGCAGCTGCCACTACAAGAGAGTTTATGCTGAAGGCAAATTGTCAAATATGAAATGTAGGACCTAAAAGCTGGTGTTGGACAGATTAAAACCCACACAAATATGCACACACACACACACACACACCCCAAATAGACTGCATTGTCGGCTGAAGCTCATTTTCAGAAATACATGGCTCAGCACTAAAGTGGACAGTTTAATCAGTTCCTCTGCAGAAATAGCAAGATTTTTTACAAGGGAAAGAAAATCTACAGAGATGAAGCTGTGACTGGAAAATTTGATCCACATGTTGTATTTTTAGATCTGTCAAAGATTGACCTCTGTTTGCAGTTTTTCTAGCAACAGTTTAATGTAAAATTAGCCTATTTGTAGCACTTCTATATTTTGTGGAATTTTACTGTATATTATACCTTATTCGTTATTTCTAGAAAGTCAAATGTTTTCTTTTGAAATTCTTAGTTGCATATATTCCCTTTTTTAAGCTATGCAAATGATAGTGAGCCTACTTTGCATACATTTTGTGTAGTCTGTTCGGTGGGAATTTTGGTAGAAACTTATAAAGGATGGAACATGCTATTTTGTTACCTTTGAAATATTTGCAGAATAAAGAGATGGTGAACAGATGGGAAATTATTCACTGCAGGAATCGAAACAGAAATATTTCAAATTTTCTTCATCAGTGTATGGGAAAATCTTGAGCACGGAAAAGGGTGACTTCTCTGTATTTAAAACAGACACAACCTGGTTGTTTTCACAGGCATATTATTATTATTTCTTAGATAAGTGAGTAAGTATGTAAGTATGTCAACACATAAATGCATGCGTGTGGGAAAGTAGCATGGTCACCAAGGAAGAAAAGCTCTAGAGTAAAACCTTACCTTATTTTAAACCGTACATTTACTAAACTTATTATTTGCAATTCAGTTGACAATCATATTACCATGTGATATTCAAATGTCAAATGCATATCTCATTTTCAGCTAAGACCATTGCATCATTTCTTGTCAAATGCACTGAAATATGGCTAAGTCTAGCTCTGATTAGATAAGGGACCTCATGCTGGTGTTAGTAAATCCAACCCCAGGGATTGGTTCCCAAGCTGAGGGAAATGGCAAAGTTATTATTGATGGTGGTGCCAAAGCTAACAGGTTTCACATGTCTTTCATGAACATGTGGTGACAGCCCCAACAGTGACACAGTTAAGAGTCATTTGTTCAAATGTCCTAGAATCATTGCTGAAAAAAGGTGAAAAATCTGTGAATTTTAAATACCCACCAGTATGGGAGTTTGCTCAACTCTTTGTAGGTTTCCTGGTTCATTGCACTGAATGGAATCATATGAAAAGTAATCCCTTATTTATGTGCAGGAGTTTGCCTCATTAGAAGTCATATAACGTATACACTGGAATTCGAGTCTGGGGTTTGAGTCTGGGTACTGTACAGTTCTAGCTGTGTGACTTTCACAATGTTTTTTATTTCTCTGAACATCAATTCTTCTACATAATGATGATTTTTGTGAAAATTAAAGGAGATTGTGTATATAAAACACGTGGTGATCCATAAATCTTAGCTCTTCATGTTGTTATTTAGCCTTGTCATAATTTCATAAAATGTGCAGAGAATGCTTTATAGTCTTTATCTAGTTCAAGAAACAGAACCAGTGAAGGAAAAGTGGCTTGTCCGTGGTCACATGGCTAACCAGGGTGACAGAGGATCAAGCCATATCTCCTGGTTTGAAATCCAGTATCCCTTAAGTGTCTGTGGAGGAAAAAAAACCCTGTACATTGGACTATAATTAACGTACTGCTATACTTGCAGAGGCAAAGTAAAATGGTGAATTGGTGCAATTACCTCAATAATTCAAGCCCAAAAGTACCAAAACACTTTTATCTAGTACATCGGATTATTTCAAGCCAAATATCTGAATAAATGCCCCCATTATTCATATCATTTTGAATATATGTATACATCTGTTTTTTCTTGTGGGGGACAGGATGAGGGTAATCTTTGAATCATGTCTTCAATGTTTCCAACATAAATAGAGAGTATCATTTTTCATATTTGTTCCAAAATCCAGTGGCCTTTTTATTAAATTGAAGTTTGTGCATCAGTGGAAAAATCTTCACTGAAATATGGTACTTCCAACTGTAAATTTGGCTTGATTTAAGTGGCTTACAAGCATAACTGTACAACAGTGACAAGACACGGCCTTCTTTGTGGGTGTTGGGGGTGGGGCACAATTAGAAACACTTTTTAAATCCTTTCAGTTTTTGTTCTATATATGGAATTGAACTGTGATCCTGGAGAAAATGGTTCAACCCTGCTACAAGGGGTTATATTCAAATTAGTCCAAGACAATTGTGATATCAAAAGTGGGCTAAAATTGCAGTTATTTAAAACTCAAAGAAATACCCCCTCTTTTTTTCTGATCTTTACAAATCATATACCTATTTCAAAGCAAAATTAAACTCTTCTGATTATATTTCCTTAGCTACAGCCATGAACTGAATATAATATCAGCATTAAAATACAAATTAGTCACATTTGGAAAACAACCAACAAAAGTTTTTTAAACTATAGAAATACATATCAATTAAACTAGGCTGTGCGTAGTTAAAATCCAGTGTCTGTACTAACAAAATCTGTCAGCCCACCATCATTTATGTTTTATAATAAATATAGTGCTTAACAGAATGTGGGAATAACATTACCATGTATTGACAAGCCTATTATACTTTGAACAGGTACTACAAAGAAAGCTGTAAAGCAAATGTCTTTGTTCACTGTGAAGTCTGCATCGTAGAATAATCCCTAGAGATGAGGAAGGAAGAGTTTCAGACACAATTAGGGCCCCTTTTAAAGGGTATCCTCAGTAAAATACTGTGTATAAGTTCTTCAGCATTAGCACATGTACCCTCTCTTATGATTGCTAATAAGTCCTCTGGGCCTCTAGTCAACTTTCTGGTCTTTGCTTTAAAACCTGTCTCAACTGAAAGGCAATGAAAGGTCCCTTCAAGTCAGATAATAGGGGTGTGCACAGAAGCAGGTGAGATTGTTTCTCTCTGGTTTGATTGGTACTATCTTTGGAATTTCAGCCTATGATTTTATAGTCTCTACACTGTTATTCCATATACCTGCTTGAGTGTTAAATGGAAGAGCAGAATAGTACCTTTAGAGAAGAGATTAATACCATAAGTGTTCCACACATAGTAAATCTCAAAAGATCTTCATCGACCAGCTATGAAAGGAAGCCAAAGAATCAGAAAGAGAAAATGACAGAACGGAAAGTGGTTACGGCTTAATTTCTTGATGTTAAGGGGAAAAAATGTTTACTATTAAACTTTCCTTGTTCTAAGAAAAATTTGAGACCACTCTTTTTCTCACCTTAATTTAGAAAGGCCATATTAGAAGAAAACAAAAAACAAAAAAAACAAAAACCAAAAGTCATTTTCCAAATCATGATTTCTAAGATGCTGATAGAAAGGTTTTTATTTAAATAGCTGTCCTTTCTATAACTTTGGATCCAAAATTCTACTTCTAGGAGTCTTTCCAAAGGAAAAAATCAGACATGTGTATAGAGACTTAACTATATGACTATACACCAATTTCAACAGGAATAAAAATTGGGGACTGATTAGGTATATTATTATATGTGCATATATACAATGGAATAAAGTATAGCCATTAAAAAGACATTATTGAAAATTCTAATTTAATTGCAAGTGCTTTTTTAGTTCTTACTGTAGGCTATATTCTGGCCAGGCTGTAGCATACATTAGTGTCTGCTTTCACCAACCTCACACTCTCGCAGGAAGACAAAGATGGAAATATTTATTTATACTTGATATAAGTGTGGTAATATATTCACTGAAAGAACACATTAAAGGACATTGTGCTTCTGATTTTTTTATATACATATTTCATACATATATAGAAAGCATACTTATAATGTGTGTGAGCATATATACTCACACATTTGCATATACGTATATATAATGTGTGTGTGAGTAAATATATTTATATCTATTCACATTGTACCTGTTGGCTATTGCTGCATAACAAATCACCCCCAAACAACTATTACTTATTTCCATTCATGCATTTATTGTTACTCATGCATCACTGTAGGCCTACGGATTGGCTGGAGCAGCTCTGCTCCACATGCTCCACGTGTCTCTCCTCCTCCCTGGGATAATAAGCTGGATTGAGCATGTTCTTCTCATAGTAATGTGAGATGGACAAAAGAGAACAGAAATAGGAGGCATCTTTAGGTCAAGGCTTAAGAGTATTCAGAGAAAAAAATGCAGAAAAACCACGAGATACATAGGAAGCGATATAAATTTTCTGAGTGGTAAGATTATGTGTAATTTTTCATTTCTTCTGTTTATTTTTTCTAAAGTTTTAACAACAAAATGTACTACTTTTATAATAAAATCCAGGCAAAAACTTATTTTAAATATTTCACTAAACTATTCACAGGTTTCCTATTTCTTATGTCCTTCTCATAATTATTTATATAGAAAGGAGGCCAACTGGAGATAGAAGACCTAATATTTGATGTTGTCATTTATGTGTCAAAAAGCCATATTTTCCTTATGCGTTGCCTGGCCTGCTGTTGAATATAAATTGTGTATCACTGATAAACTTAAAGTGGTAGAGAATTATAACGCTAATATAATCCCTGTTCATTTACTTACTTTCCTCATTAAAGAAAACACACACACACAGAGAATTCCATTTGTTTACAAAAATCACAATCTTCTTAAATTTGCTTTGATTTTTGCATGGACACAACAAAATGTTTTAATATAGAAAGAAAGTACTTAACACCTTGAGTTGCTGGTATTATTTTTCAAATTTGTGGTCCTTCATCTCATAATGACACATAAAAGAAATGCTTTATGCTCATCTCTGTTCTTTGATTTCTTTACTCATGTAAGTGAATTTTTTTTTCTTTTCCTGTGGACTAGCCTAGAAAGCCTTATTTCCCTCCCCCCTCCCTTTTTTTTGGTGCCATAATTAGATTGAGTGGTAGATGTTTCTAGTGAATCATTCTACCAATTAGGCTAAAATATTAAAGACAAGTAACTTGAGAAGGAAACTCACATATCTATAGCACTTTGCAGCAGATGTATCCTATTTACTTCTTTATTTTATTGCTTAATGACTGGATCTGAAGTAATTGCACCATTTGACAGATATTTATTTGTAAAATGTGATTCATTCAGTCAGACACTTTTCAAATGATTTTCATGCCAAGTGTTAAAATTGCGTAGGCTTGAGTAGCTGTTTCAAAAGATGCAAACACACATGTTAATTCCATGCATCAAGCACATCTACTTTCGGCTCTTTTTATTATAGAAATATTTCAGTTGACAAAGAGTGCTAGTGAACAGACGGCAGGGACTTCTGGACTTTAATCAACCGCAATCACTGGCAGAGTTCAGAATTAATTTCCTAACCATGAATCACCTGCAGACAATGAATCACGTTCTAGAGAATTTTGCCAAACAAAACAAGCCATCATGCCCTATACAACTTTTGAGGACAGGGCTATGGAAACTCATTTGACTAGCACAGTTGAAACAGTGAAAGGGAAAGAATACTAGCGAATACTGGAACAAGCTATCAAAGAGTGCCTGGTGACTTTCAACTTAAAAAAGACAAAGGAAAGCAAGAGTTCAGCAAGAAAACACTCCTTTCTGAAACAACCTATCCATTGGTTGGCTTCTATCCCTAAATTCTAGCTATTGACAATCAAGATAAAGGATTTTTTGACTAGGATAGGTTCTATCCATTATAGCACAGACGTCAAAACATTTTCACCTATTCTTTAATCAAAGAATCAGAAACTTCTTATTTAGTTTCTGTTTCAGACACTGTATCTCCTTGGACAGAAATAAATGAGGGCAATTAGACAAATATTCAGATCATTCAGCTAAAAAATGTTTTTGAATGAAATAACCAAGTTATTTTTATACTTAAATTTGTGATTGTCTCAATTTTCCATTTTCTCTTCTAGGTATAGAACAAAGCACCTTTACATGCTTCTGTACACTGTAAAAAAGTTGCAGCCATAAAAAATGATGAGTTCGTGTCCTTTGTAGGGACATGGATGAAATTGGAAATCATCATTCTCAGTAAACTATCGCAAGAACAAAAAACCAAACACCGCATATTCTCACTCATAGGTGGGAACTGAACAATGAGATCACATGGACACAGGAAGGGGAATATCACACTCTGGGGACTGTGGTGGGGTGGGGGGAGCGGGGAGGGATAGCATTGGGAGATATACCTAATGCTAGATGACGAGTTAGTGGGTGCAGCGCACCAGCATGTCACATGTATACATATGTAACTAACCTGCACAATGTGCACATGTACCCTAAAACTTAAAGTATAATAAAAAAAAAAATAGAAAAAAAAAAAAGTTGAGACAAATTTCAGTTTCAAGACATGATAAAATGTTTAGCACTTTACATAACATCATCAAAATGAAAACTGATCACTTAAAAAGAAAATATTTTTATTGTCAAATTTGAATATAGTTAACTTCAAACTACACCAACAAGTAAACAATATACCACTAGGAAAAATAAAAGGCCTTGGCCAACCCAAGATATTTGACATACTTTGCTCCCATCATGCATGTCATTGCAATAAGAATAAAGAAGGAGTAGAACACACATCTTTTTGGGACAGAGTTTTGCTCTTTCACCCAGGCTGGAGTGAAGTGGCATGATCTCAGCTCACTGCAACCTCCACCCCCTGGGCTCAAGCGATTCTTCTACCTCAACCTCCTAAGTAGCTGAGATTACAGGTGCCCACCACTATGCCCAACTAATTTTTCTATTTTTAGTAGAGACGTGATTTCACCATGTTGGCCAGGCTGGTCTCAAACTCCTGACCTCAGGTGATCCACCCACCTCAGCCTCCCAAATGCTAGGATTACAGGAGTGAGCCACCATGCCCAGCCTAGAAAATGCCTATCTAGAAAAAATAATGAATAATAAGAACTTGCAAATGCATTATTACACAAATATCAGAAACTTAAACTAGATTGAACGTGTTTTCTTTTTACTGATTGATAACTTCCGTCAAATAAATCTGCCCTTATAAATTCACCCAGTGTTGGCACATAAAGAAAAAAAAAAGCAAGATTCATATCATATGGCACAGAATAAAATAATTTTCCAGATGAGCAATCAATATTTTATTTTAGACCATGAAAACAGGTATATCGGACTATAAAGCATCCATTGTGAGTCACTTTAGCCAGGCGAATGGAACACATTAACCATTATTATTATTGAGTGGAGGTAGCTGGAAGTTTTTTATTGACTCATATACCGTTTGGTCATACTATTGTCTGTCCATCACAGTGTGTTGTCTTCCAGCCTCTTAATCATTCCTTCTCATTCACTGATCGTCTTGGTGCCTGGGCTTACATTTCTTCTCTCTTCTCCAAATTCTATTATCCTGAGTGCCTGGCAAGACCTGTGTTCAGCCCAAACAAACCTTTGGTTCTAAGCACGTTGGTCTCATCTCGAATGACTTTTTCCAGTCCAATACCCTTCAGGAGTCCACCGCAATGCTGTAAATCGGAGTCATTAATCTTTATCTGAAACTGCTCCAGATTTTCTATTGCAAATTCAGAATCTATAATTATTTGACCTAAAACTCTTATTCTCTGACTGTTGCCCAGTTACTTCCCATACATTTTTTAACCTCATTTGTTTAGCCACTGTACTAAATATTATGAAGAGCCCTGTTAGTACCTTATATTGTTCTAGACATCAGATCTCCTGGAGTGAACCCAGCAAAGATGCCTGCTCTTGTGGAGCTTACATTCAAAACCCTTGACCCTTCTTCATTCTCCTAATCAACTCTCCCCTGTCTTCCTTTTCTACATAGTGTAAGTCCCATGAGCCATCATTTCAACTACTCTGTTCTTAATATCCTAACTTTTTGGCTCATTATTCTTCCATCATGTACTGGCAGAAACCCAAGTCTTGAGGAATCCAACCATCTCCCTTCTCAGCATATTCACCTCAGTGACTGAACATAATTTAGAGGAAATCACGTAACTGTGCAGATAGATGCCATACTAAGTTCATGGTCTCTGCTATAGTAACTGGGTCCTCAACATTTCCCAGAAATCCTTTCTTTTATATTTTCTTAGCTCTTTTTCTAGATCCCTTGGTGCTTATTTCAAACTAACAAGCAAGCTAAATAATGTTGGCATCCAAAGCAAGCAGTTTCAAATGAACCCACAAATCAGTCAGTAGTCCTTCCCTTATCTGCAGTTTCACTGTCTGCAGTTTCAGTTACCCACAGTTAACCATGGTCTAAAAATATTAAATTGAAAATTCCAGAAATAAACAATTCATGTTTTAAATTGCCTGCCCCTTCTAAGTAGTGTAATGGGATTTCACATTGTCTAACTCTGTCCTGCTTGGAATATGAATCATCACTTTGTCAGTTACCTGTGCTACTTGTCCCTTAGTCACTTAATAGTAATCTTCATTATCAAGAATGAAAAAACATAGTGCATAGAGGGTTCAGTATTGTCTGCAGTTTCAGGCATACACTGGAGGTTGTGATAT
Source organism: Homo sapiens (assembly GCF_000001405.40). NCBI lineage: Eukaryota > Metazoa > Chordata > Mammalia > Primates > Hominidae > Homo > Homo sapiens. The sequence continues at coordinate 169,030,183 of NC_000003.12, forward strand.
GTATACCCCATGCATAAGGGGAGACTACTCTAACTCATGATATGACTAACAAATAATAATTGTATTAGTTCGTTCTCGCACTGCTAATAAAGTCATACCCGGGACCAGGTAATTTATAAAGAAAAGAGGTTTAATTGACTTACAGTTCAGCATGGCTGGGGAAGCCTCAGGAAACTTACAATCATGGCAGAAGGGGAAGCAAACATGTCCCTCTTCATATGGCAGCAGGAAGGAGAAGTAGCAAGCAAAGTGGGTAAACCCCTTAGAAAACCCATCAGATCTCATGAGAGCTTATTCACTATCATGAGTACATTATGGGGGTAACTGCCCCCATGATTCAATTACCTCCCATTGGGTCTCTCCCACAACATGTGGGGATTATGGGAACTACAATTCAAGAAGAGATTTGGTGGGGACACAGTGAAGCCATATCAATGATGATTATTATCAATACAGAGCATCTAGATGTGTTCTTTCACTAATCAGGGCTCAGAGAGTGAGGCAAATAGAAAAGTTTCTGAACCTTGGTTGGAATGGAACAACTAATTTTCTTTGCCTAAGTGTTAAACATTTTGTTGGGCCTAAGTTTAAAACTGAACTCCAATTCAGCAAGAATAGTTAAAATAGGAAGCTTCTCAGTGTTATGAATAAAAGAACCCACATATATAACCTTCCTGGACTGCCAGACCAGCAGGTGGATATAGCAGAAGATGATTAAGGGTGCTCCAAAACTTAACAGGGCCTTGGACAATTGTTGCATGTTTTTTGCCTTGGTTTTCCCACCTGTGAAGTATGTATAACAGAATTAACGTAACAGGGTTGTTGTGAAGATTGAATGGGAAATATGTGTAGAATGTTTACAAGAGTATCTGGACCTCATAAGTACTCAGCTATGTTAGCTGTTAGTTGCTGATTCCAATTCCATCTATAACTCTGGCTCTGTCTGTCTCTTTCCTGACACAGCAAACTTCTTAAAAACGCTTTCTGTGTTTGCAGGTTCTTTCTAATTTCTCCACCATCTCGTCACTCCACTACTCTTCTGAACCTGTTCTCATTGAAGTCATCTATGGCGTCCTTGACACTAAATACCTTAGATTTATTTCCCCGTTCTTATTTCACCTATTGGCATCATTTGACCCTAAAAACCACTCCCTTTTTCCTGAAACTCTCCTTCCCCAGCTTATATGAAAACACACACTCCTTGATTTCCTCCTATATTTCAGGTTTTACCTTCTCACCCCTTTTTCACAATTCAGAAATATTTTTTCAGTATTGATGTTTCAGAAAATCCTATCATGTCACCTTTTTTTCCTCACTCTACATTCTTTCCCTGGGGTATCTAATGCACCTTCTTAGGATTGCCATCTCTATTGTCTAGGATGAAGACTAAGCTACCATTAAAAAAAAAAAAAAAAAAAAAAAGCTACCATAAAAAAAGAGGAGTGGCTTAAGGAATGAAGTTTATCTATCCCTTACCTAAAGTCAAGGAGTATGTTGTTCAGGATGGCAAGGCAGCTCTGCTCCACACAGTCACTCAGAGACCCAGCTTCTTTTCTCCTGCTGCTCTGCATCCCTGCATCATCAGTGGCTGCTGTTTGCAGCTGGGTTGCTGTTAAATTCAGGGTCCTGAGGGAGGCAAAAAAAATAAGAAGTCTCAGGGGTAGAAATGATATGTAAATTACATATGTCACATCTGTCCACAATCCACTGGTAAATATGTGGCCAAATGACCACATGGATCCACCAGGAGAGCTCCGAAATGTGACTTCAGTTGGGCATATCCTCAGAAAGAAGAGGGTGGATTTTAGCAGGCAACTAGCAGTCTCTCCTGCACCATCTATAAGCCAATAGCTAAAAATTCTGTATCTTTAGCTCAGCTCTCATTCCTTAGCTTCAGACTCAAACATCTAAATGCTTCCTGGACTGCTGCACTTCGATCTCCCACTTAGATCTTAAATTCAGTATGTCCCAAACAGAATTTATAATATTCTACATCCTATGATCCTCATACTCCATTTTTTATCAGAAACAATTCCTGTTTCCTTACTTCCTTTTTTTTTTTTTTTTTGAGATGGAGACTCACTCTGTCACTCAGGCTGGAGTGCAGTTGCACAATCTCGGATCACTGCAACCCCTGCCTCCCAGGTTCAAGCGATTCTCCTGCCTCAGCCTCCCAAGTAGCTGGGACTGCAGGTGTGCACCACCACACCTGGCTAACATTATATACATATGTGTGTGTGTGTGTATGTATATATAAAAGTTATATATACATATATTATATATAATATATACATATACAATATACTTATCTACATATATAATGTATATATACACATATATATAATGTGTGTATATATATTATATTTTATATATATATAGTGTGTGTCTTTTTAGTTGAGATGGGGTTTTGCCATGTTGGCCAGGCTGGTCTTGAACTCCTGACCTCAGGTGATCTGCCCACCTCAGCCTCCAAATTCCTGAGGTGACTTGTGAGCCACCTCGCCAGGGCCCTCCTGTCTCCTTACTTCTTAACACAGCAGTAGAAAGACCACTGAGTTCCCCCAAACAAATAATTGTGCCACATCCTTTACCCCCTTGCCTCCATTACTCTTGCTTCCCCCACCCTGCCAGAATTAAATCTATCATAGTGGTCTATTGATGCTCTATTCTACATCTCTCTCAAATATTTAGGTCATTGCAACTTACTTCCTTTACTACTACCTTAATTATTCCTCCAGCCTCCACTGTTACTCATCCAAACTTACAAAATTCTTTATTCTCTGAATCTATTTGATTTCTCAGTTTGGACAGTAAGAGTTCAGAGAGGAAAGGACATTATGTTATCTAAATTTGTTTGGTATTGTGAGTAGCAAGAGGTTCGAGACAAGGGATTTTGTATAAAATTTATCCAAGTCTCCTCACTCCTAAGGTGAAAACTGTGAGTTCTTACTGTCTAATAAAGTGCATAGCAAGGGATACGTGTATTCTCCACAGTGCAGCCTGCAGTCTTTCTAAAATACAAATCTAATTTTACCACACTCCCACATATATAACTTTTCAATGGCTTCCCATTGGCCTTAGGATAAAGTCCAAATTCTTGATGTGGCTTAGAAGTTTTACATATGCTGATTTTTGCTGAATTTTGCCACCTCCTCACTGGATTTTTGACTCCAGACATGGAGACGGTTTCTTATGGTTCTTTGAAACCATCTCTCCCTTAAGTCCTTTGCTAATGGCATTCCATTTGGCTGGAGCTCTCTTACTTAAGCTCAGATCCTTTTGCCTAACTAATTCCTAGCCATCCCTCAAGCAGCAGCTTAGTTATCCTGTCTTCTAGGCAATCATGGGACCCTCCCCTGCAAATGGAATTAGGTGCCTTTTTCTACTTATTTTTTTAGCATCTAGTACTTACCTTGTATTGACACTTATAATATTTTATTATAATTGCTTTTTATTACTTATTTCCCAATCAAGAAAGTGAACTCTGTGATGACTGAGACTATTCTGCTCTCTGATACATCTGCAGATAGGATTGCGAATGTACTAGATGTTCAATAAATATCCACTAAATATTAATTTAATATTTGGATATCTGAGCACTTTGGAATGAGAATAAATGTAATTTAAGAACATTTACTCATAATTAAGTTCTTAATACAATTTTAATTAGGATGAATGGGTTATTTTATTTACTAAAGTACGTTTTATATAGAAATATATTCAATAACACTTTGAGAGTAATGAGCTAAAATGAATGATGTCAGGACAGACATGGAAAGTCAGAGTCTGCTAGACTTCTGATCTCTCTTCCTTGCCTGAGTCTTATTGTGCATTCCACACGTACAGAGCTCTTGCCTGAGTCCCACAGTCTGATTTCTTGAGGCCTCCTCCATGAAAGTTATGAGGAGTTGGTAAGCATAGGGTCATAAGCCCATCAGTGGGTCTGACTGAACTTCATTCAGAGTCAAACCTCTCTCAGACACTTGTCTTAGGAAATAGTACTCAGCCACAGCGATAATCAATTATGAAGTATGTTCCTGGTGATTACTGGTAATAAAGTACCAATGCCTATTAATTTCTTTTAAATTAGAACAGATTCAATGTCATCTCTATAATAGCATCAGTATTACCATTTTCCATTTTGTATGTTTTCTTGAGAGAGAAAGAAATGATTCAATCTATGACAGAGCTGACAATGACAATGGCATGTGTACCTGATAAATTATCTGGTTATCTGGTTTTAAAAATGGAAATGAGTAAATAAGTTCACCTTAATACAGAAAATATGGGGTCACCAGGTATGAATTAGACAAAAGCAAAATTTAACACTTCCTTTCTAGATGGGGAAAACAGGAGACTTACTAACCTAAGGGAATGTCTCAGGGCTGAGCAAGGCAGGGTGGTACTGCAAGAGGAAAGTGATGAAATCACCCTTTCTGAAAGCATGTGTGTCACAAGTAGCTGTATTTAACTCCTCCAGTTAGGGAGAAGCAGCATTTCCACCAGCGGGTTTGAGCAGATGTAAGTTCTAGGTGAATTTCTGTTACCTGCAAGGAGGGATGTGAATGCTCTCTTCATGAAGCTAAACTGGGTACAGTCATGGATTTCTTACAAGAGAATTTAGGGGCTTGACTGCCCATGCATCAGTAACATACAAGTCTTTTTAAATTGTATTGGCTAAAACTAATCACATTATTATGTTTCAAACATAACATTTAGTCCTACATTCAACTTGTACCTAAAAAAGTATGTTGCAGCAGCCAGCTTTTAATTTCAGGCTTCCAGGCTTTAATTAATTTAGAGGGCATTTACATCCAAAGAAAGAAAGTCTCATCACAAAGTGGAATTTGCACAGAGTGAAACCCTAGGACCGAAAAAGCAACTATCCCAGGGGTCCCTACCAACACAGCATGTGTGTCTCCAAAAGAAAAAAACCAAAGTATACAACCCTCTTTTTGGCTACCTCAATCAGCAACTGCGTAAAAGCCCCACATTTGACCTTAACCTATCCTACCAGGCATCCTCCTAGTTGTGTACTTGGAGATATCTGGAAGATGGTTAGAGACATCTGGTGATGTTCTAGAATTCAAAAGTGTGTGGAATGATGACTCCTCTAGAGATCTGATATAGAAAATTCTCAATAGTTTTGCATACTTCACATTAATACAGCCAGGTCCTGCAGACCCAAACATAGACAGGTACTTTTTCTTAATTGTGTTATTTTTCTCTTTGGTTTATTTGCTGTGTCCGTTATTGTTCTTGTTGCTCTCCTTTGTTTCGTTCACTTGAAAAGTCAGTGCTTTGTGAAGGTATGTTAATGAGTTATGAGGGCCGGGCATGCTAGCTCACACCTGTAATCCCGGCATTTTGGGAGTCCGAGGCAGGCAGAACACCTGAGGTCAGGAGTTCAAGACTAGCCTGACCAACATGGAGAAACCCTGTATCTACCAAAAATACAAAATTAGATGGGCATTGTGGCGCATGCCTATAATCCCAGCTACTTGGGAGGCTGAGGCAGGAGAATCACTTAAACCCAGGAGGTGGAGGTTGTGGTGAGCCAAGATCGTGCCATTACACTCCAGCCTAGGCAACAAGAGCAAAACTCCATCTCAAAAAAAAGAGTTATGTGCACTTGAAGGAAAATTTCAGAGGACATGGTGTAACGTCTGAAAGAGCTACAAGCCCTACTTGTTTCTGAAGATTTAAACATTCTCAGACTTGCTCTGAATGAAGAATCTCTAGTCCACATAGACATCGATCAGCTGCCTTTCATCTTCCTACGTCTCCTTCTCAAATTATGTGTGAAACTATAACATTGTAGACTGGATACTCCCCAGTGAATCCTAAGCTGTCCTAAAGATCATTTTCTACCACCCTGAAGGTTTAACTACAACTGCATTTAATTGGCATTGGTGGGCAATTCATTGGAGGCATTGCAATGTGACTTCAGGAAATGTCTGCCTACCATAGTGCTGGCAGGCTTATTTCTCTAAAACCTCATATCCCTTGTTGAAAAGTTTTGTGCTGCAATGTTGATGATATGTCCAGTTCAATCAATCAGCAAATATTTATGTTAAATGCCTGTTCTATCACTGCTGCTACATGACCTTCCCCCTCCATTGGCCAATGTGCTCCTGTGAATAGTGTTCAGGCAAAGGCCAGGATCATTCTTGTCTGACCCCAGTGGTTGCATGCTGTCGCTTCTAGTCCTTCCTAAGTGGAAAAAACAATGAATTTACCAAGAAGTAGTTATTGAGCACCTACTATGTGCATACAATTTTAATGCAGTTATGTTTCTTCCAGTCTGGTGAAACTCTCAAACACCAGGATGTCTCCCTCCCTCTCCCCTTCCTTTGTCCTTTCATTAACAGTTTATAATATTAATAACTAACATTTGCATAGAATTGTGTAATTAATAAAATATTTTTATCCCTTTTTTTTTTATATGGAGTCTTGCTTTGTCACCCAGGCTGGAGTGCAGTGGCATGATCTTGGCTCACTGCAACCTCCACCTCCCAGGTTCAAGCAATTCTTCTGCCTCAGGCCCCCGAGTAGCTGGGACTACAGGTGTGCACCACCACACCCAGGTAATTTTTGTATTTTTTTTAGTAGAGACGGAGTTTCACCATGTTGGCCAGGCTGGTCTCCAACTCCTGACCTCGTGATCCACCCACCTCGGCCTCCCAAAGTGCTGGGATTACAGGCATGAGCCACCGCGCCTGGCCAAGTATTTTTATTCTTAATCCTACACACAATACTGAGAGGGGGATGTTTCTCATCTTTCATAGCTGAAGAACCAGGAGATTGGGATTTGTCCAAAGACGCAGCCAGTAAAGAGAAACTTTCGGCAGCACCACATTGCTCTCTATATAAATAAAGCACTGCAATAAATGCTTGGGTTTGGGAATAGAAGTGATAATGAGATGAGTAAAATAGATTTTGACCTCAAAGAATTTTTTTTTTTTTTTGAGGTGGAGTTTTGCTCTTGTTGTCCAAGCTGGAGTGCAATGGCGCGATCTCGGCTCACTGCAACCTCTGCCTCCCAAGTTCAAGCAATTCTCCTGCCTCAGCCTCCCAAGTAGCTGGGATTACAGGCACTTGCCACCATGCCCAGCTAATTTTTTGTACTTTTAGTATACATAGGGTTTCACCACCATGTTAGCCATGCTCGTCTCCAACTCCTGACCTCAGGTGACCCTCCTGCCTCGGCCTCCCAAAGTGCTGGGATTACAGACGTGAGCTACCGTGTCTGGCCTTCCTCAAAAATTTAATATCAGAGGTAATACAATGCTTTTGTCCATTCTAAGACAGAACTAAGTGGCTGGTGCATTTCAGAATCCCTCCCTCATATCCACTGAGTGATGACCTGAGTCTTTGGAATCTTCATAGTTGCCCTGACCTCTGAGGAGTTATCCTGGCACAACTCTATCTTGGGCCTGATCAAAGCTACCTTTCTAAGAGCCACTGCTTTTTGAAAGCTGTTTGTAGAGCTGTATCTAAATATGATGTCCGTCTTCTCATCTCCTAGGCTCTCCAGTGCACTCCAGCATGGCTGTTGGCTTTGTCTTTTCACTCAAACAACTTTCGTTAAGGTCATGATTGACCTCGATGTTGATAAAGTGAAATTTTTTTTTATTTTTATCTCAAGAGCCAGAACAGCATAGTGGTAAACAAAACATGGAACTCTGAAGTCAAATTGCCTTGGTTTGAAACATAACTCCTCTATTTACTAGTTGTGTAATCTCAAGAAAAACACTTCACCTTTCTGTACTTCACTTTCTTCATGCATAGAATGGGGATAATAATAATACTACATCATAGTATCAGTGGGAGGATTCAATGAGTTAATATATGCAAAGCCCTGAGAAAATGTCTGAAACATTAAATGCTATAGATAGTAGATGTTATTTATTATTGCCTAAACTGCTTGCATGTTAACAATTTTTTTCTTCTTTGATCCCAGTCTTCCATTGATTTCTAGGATAACTGGCTAGCCATATGCAGAAGATTGAAACAGGACCCCTTCTTTTCACCATAAACAAAAATCAACTCAAGATGGATTAAAGACTTAAATGTTAGGCTCCAAACTATAAAAATCCTAGAAGAAAACCTAGGAAGTACCATTCTGGACATGGGCCTTGGAAGAGATTTCATGATAAAGTCACCAAAAGCAATTGCAACAAAAACAAAAATTGACAAATAGGACCAAACTAATCTAAAGATCTTCTGCACTGTAAAAAAAATAAAAATAAAAATAAAATAAATCAACAGAATAAACAGACAACGTACAAAATGAGAGAAAGTATTTTCAAACTATCCTACAAAGGTGTAATATCCAGAATCTATAAGAAACTTAAATTAATGAGCAAAAAATGAACAACTTTAATAAAAAGTGGGCAAAAGGACATGAACAGTCACTTCTAAAAAGAAGACATACACGTGGACAATAGGCATATGAAAAAATGCTCATCATCACAAATCATCAGAGAAATGCAAATCAAAACCACAATGAGATACTACCTCATACTAGTCAGAATAGCTATTATTAAAAGTCAAAAAATAACAGATACTGGTGAGGTTGTAGAGAAAAGAGAACACTTATACACTGCTGATGGGAATGTAAACTAGTTCAACCACTGTGAAGCAATTTGGAGATTTCTCAAAGAGCTTAAAACAGAACTACAATTCAACCCAACAATCCCATCCCTGGGTATATGCCCAAAAGAATATAAATCATTCTGCCATAAAGACACATGCACACATATGTTCATTGAAGCACTATTTACAATAGCAAAGACATAGAATCAACCTAAATGCCCATCAACAATGGACTAGATAAAGAAAATGTGGTACATAAGCTGGGCGTGGTGGCTCACGCCTGTAATCTCCGCACTATGGGAGGCCGAGGTGGGCGGATCACGAGGTCAGGAGATCGAGACCATCCTGGCCAACACAGTGAAACCCCGTCTTTACTAAAAATACAAAAAAATTAGCCGGGCATGGTGGCAGGCGCCTATAGTCCCAGCTACTCGGGAGGCTGAGGCAGGAGAATGGCGTGAACCCAGGAGGCGGAGCTTGCAGTGAGCCGAGATCACGCCACTGCACTCCAGCCTGTGCAACAGAGTGACACTCTGTCTCAAAAAAAAAAAAAAAAAAAGAAAAAGAAAAGAAAAGAAAATGTGGTACATTTGCACAATGGAATACTACACAGCCGTAAAAAAGAATGAGATCATGTCCTTTGCAGCAGCATGGATGCAGCTAGAGGCCATTATCCTAAGCAAATTAACACAGGAATAGAAAACTAACCATCACATGTTCTCACTTATAAGTGGGATCTAAGCATCGAGTACATATGGACACAAAGAAGGAAACAATAGACACCGGGGCCTACTTGAGAGTGGAGGGTGGGAGGAGGAAAAGGATCAAAAAATTGCCTATCAGGTACTATACTTATTACCTGGTGGGCAAAATAATCTCTATACCAAACCCCCACGACACACAGTTTACCCGTATTACAAACCTGCACATGTACCCCCTTTATCCAAAAAGTTGTAAATAAAAAAAAGAAGACCAAATTTGCTCAAATATTTTTCTATGACAGAATCTTCCTCTGAATTCTTGATTGACATATCAAAGTGCCTTCTTCTTGGCATCTCCACTTGACTGTCTCATATACAACTTAAACTCACCCTTTCTCCCTAAACTGGTTACCTCTGGTATTCCTCTATTAGTACATATAACCAGCATTCAATGTGTTATGAAGCTATAAATCCAGGAATTATCTCCACTACTTCTGTCGCACTGACCCTTAATATCCAATCCATCACTGAGTCCTGAAGTTTAGAATTTCCATATCCTTTTATTCACATATTCCTCATCCCAGTCAATGCTACCATTATGTTTCACTTGGACTACTGCAATACCTTTCAGAGGGCTCTCTTCTCATCACTCTGACTCCTGTCTATCTGCTTCCCATATATCAATCAGAATAATCTTTACAAACAGGAGAGCCTATCATCACTTACTTAGAGCATTTTGATAACTTTCTTATACTAGTATAATAAAGACAAACTAACTGCTTGAGCTCACAAAACATACATACATCAACTTTAAATCATCCCACATTTCCTCTTGCTTTCTTACTGCAGAGTCATTGACCATAGCTTCCTTTTACTAAAAGTTTCTTGCTCCCTCTCAGTGCAAGGCCTTTGTATATGTTCATCCTTCTCCTCTTTCCCTCCTCTTTGCCTCATTGGTTTCTACTCCTTTTGACATCCTAGCTGTATCATCACAGCCTCAGGAAGGCCTCCTCTGATTTTCCTCACTCAATATCCTTTTTCATAGCACTTTTCCTTGTTGTAGTTTCACATTCCTTCATGTCCTTTTTTGATTCTGTCTGTCTCATACCACAGACTACAAATTCTATGAGACTATGTCTCTGGGGGAAGTTGATTACTATAGTATAACAGGACCTGGCATATAAATGGTGCTCCAGTACACATTATTTGAAGGAACTTAATCTTGGACCCTTTGAGTTCAGTTCTATATCACAATGCCCAACATGGACCTCATCTTACAGGAGGGATGACTATACAAATACACATATGCTAATTATGGCAGGGTAGATATAATACTAACTGTGCTTAAAAGCTGCTATTTTTTAATACCTGTAGTCACAGGAATTGTGGTCAAATGAATTAGAGATGTTAGAGAACAACACAGTTTGTATGACTGATACTCAGGACTGAAAGAATAAAGCATTTAATTCATTTTGCCTTCTTAACATTGCTAAGACTGCAATTCCGGGGTCCTCTCTACTTACAGGCAGTATTACATGACCAAACTGCAATATAATAAATTTTTAGCTATATCTTATTTGTACTCTTATGTATAGCCATTATTTGAATTATTTTCTTCCCCAAAAAGAGGCTGTTTTAAGTTATGATGACTAAACTTAGACCCTACTGATTTTCTTTCTTTGTTTTTTTTTTTTTTTTGAGATGGAGTCTCGCTCTGTTGCTCAGTTTGGAGTGCAGTGGCAAGATCTCGGCTCAATGCAGCCTCCACCTCCCAGGTTCCAGCAATTCTCCCACCTCAGCCTCCTGGGTAGTTGGGATGACAGGCATGAGCCACCACGCCCAGCTAATTGTTGTATTTTTAGTAGAGACGGGGTTTCACCATGTTGGCCAGGCTGGTCTCAAACTCCTGACCTCAGGTGATCCACCCGCCTTGGCCTTCCACAGTACTAGGATTATAGGCATGAGCCACTGCGCCCTGTACCTACTGATATTCTTAAAACCACAGTAAGGGAACAAGCTGGGAATTGCATTATTTTACCTTCAGAATGGCCAGAAATATTTCAAACTTCAGCCTCTTGATGATTTCATAGATGAATAACAATGTGGTTGGTTTTACTAAAAAACAAGAAGCTTACAGGCCTTTCTTATTCTGCAACCCTGTCCCAGTGTTTAATAATAAAATTAATTGTTTTATGGCCTTAATGTTCAAATGTCAAAGACTGTAAATTTGCCGCACGAACAAAATTGAATGACCCTGCTTGGAAAATTTGTTTCTATTAATATTATAGGATCTGTTTAAAAAAAAAAAAAAAGCATCTGGACAGTTCATTTGAATGGCCACAAGAGAGCAGTAAGAAATTAAAGCTTAGGAAGATGACTCATAGTCACACTTACGTGTGTACTTTTTGCTATTAGGAAGAAATGAATAAAAAACCTACTTATATTTGTTCTTAAACTTGGCAATACAGTTTAGAATCTTTTTTTTAAAAAACAATTTAAGAAGGACAATATAGATAGCATCAGTAGATTAACTGAAAAGAACCTTGAATTAGAGCTTTTAGGAACCTCACGTTCATGCGTGAAAATGGAAAACAATAGTCACCCTGGGCAAAGGGACATCTTGAGAGGTCATCCAACACATCCCTGTGGATTATGCAAGCCAAAAGGTATGTGTCCCACTTACTAAGTCCCACAGAAGATTCCAGCATCTGTTTCTAAAGTATGGCCAATATTTTACAATGTTAACTATAGGACTTTTTTTTAAATGTCAAATTCTATCTTTTTATGTTGTAATTCAGCTACTATATTAAGTAGTATGTAGGGATACCCTGAATCTTTTTTAAAAGTTCATACCTATTTCTTTATGTGCCCCTGCCCTTTACTGCTCATACAAACTTGGCCATTTTTTACTTGGAATCTTGGATATCATGAATTTTAAAAATGAATTTTAAAATCATGAATTTGCAAAATGAACGGCAATAGCCTTAATATGTGAAGTACTATGAGGAGTCAGTCTGAAAAAAAGATGAAGAGTAGAAAAGTAGGCAAAGGCTATGAACAGGCAATTCACAAGATTAGAATTATATACTCAATATACATATAAAAATTGTTTATGTGAATTTTTAACATTTTTAACCTAATAATTTCCCTGCTAAGAATTTATCCTGTGGTAACAATCAGACTAATAAGAGTATAGATTTTAAAGTAAAAATAATTGGGAAAGTAAAAACTTAAATTATGTCAAAGAAGAAGAATTTGTTAAATTAATTATAGTCATACAAATGGGGTATAAGGAAAGCCATTACAATACTATAAGTAAATATTTATTGACATTGAAAGCCATGGAACATTTTAACTTTCAATAAAGTTGAAAACATTATATATAGTATGATTCCACTTAGGAAAAAATTGCGAATGACTGCATAGAAAAATATTTGGATGATATACGCCAAAACAGCAATTATGTCTGGGTAATCATCTTATGGAGGATTTTCTTTTTGTTCTTTTTTAGAACTTCTTGTAGATTCTGAATTTTTCTTACTGTTTGTTTGTTTGCTTTGGTTTATTTTAACAATTAACATGTGTTACTTTTTAAATTAGTAAAATCACAAAAAGCTACTTCTATGTTAGAAGAAGAAAATCCTCAGATAATCTTAAGAGTTAGTTTGGTGAATTTGTGAGGTGTTTAAAATTTAATCCTTATGTAGTGAGTTGCAATGAAAACATGGCTTAATAAAATATAATTTATGACATCTACGTTTTCATAATAATATGAAAGAAAAATATATAACAAGCTACCAGGGTATATTGAGATTTTGTCTACATGCAGCTAATATAACTAGGATATTTTTAAATCAACTGAAATGGATTTCATAATTTATAATGTAAACAGCTTTTATTTTTAGGAAAAAATAAAAGTCCCCCTCACCCCTTTTACCCGTGAACAGGCCAGTGACCTGACCTTCAACCTATTTCACTTTTTCTAAATGTTCTAAATGGCCATATTCTTACATAGGCCCATATTTAATCTTTAATTAATATGAATATTTCAGAACGGCCTTTACTTAATATGTGTTCTGTATAGCTGAGGATATAATAATAAAATTAATTACAGAAGAAAGTTCCAGTTACTACAGATTTGGAAAAGAATACTATGTTTCTTAGTATAAACTACTAGCAAGTATTTATTTTTAACCATGTTTAAATTGCTTCTATAATTTCTAAAATTATCAACTACTAAATATTTTTTACAAACCTAGTAATAGATTAGATCTCAAAATAAAAGCACAAGATAAACAGATGTCATCTCCATCTTAAGATGTCAAACTGAGGCTCTGTACTTTGCCCACAAATGATGTAGCTGGAACTGGGAAGGTATTCCATGCACCAATACATAGAACCCCCACAGCTTTTCATTAAAAAAAAAAAAGAAGAAGCTCTTTCCCTAATTATTCATACTTGTCTCTATATAGCATTTTCTCAAATATTTGAGGCCATTTTCCTCCTATCACTTAACCCTTCCATATGGGGAAAAACAAAATGTCTACAAGATATCTTTGGGGAACCACATTTCAGTGTTTTGTAATTTTATCCTTGCTTCTACTTGTGGGAATTAAGAGTTAGGCTTTGGCAGTGGGTGCAGGCAATACAGTCCAGTGAGCCAACTCAGAGCCCTTCCCACCACCAATGGCCTGAATCTCCTTAGGTGTTTGCCCATGTCTTGTACTTAATGCTTCTTCATTTGTGGAATCAGGACAGGCATCCTTGCTACTCTTATTAGTTGGCCACAACCCTATCACCCTTAAGAGTGTGTTTTATCCTTCACAGAAAAATAAAAAATGATGTTATGGAGACATGAGAGCACAAAAGGAAGTAAATGACTATGTTTTATCCATCACATCTGAAAATACAGTCTTTAGCAGCCCATGAAATTGTACTTGATAGCTAAAGCATTTAAATGACCTCAACTGTGTGTTTCACAGGATGGCTTAGAAATAGGACATGGAGGTTCTGGTTATACAATAGAGGGAGCACTGCCATAATGATGAGTAAATGTACTAGTCATTCACAATCTTCCTTCTGGCTAACATTGAAAAGGAGTTATTCATCTAGCACTGGCCTTTGCCCTCTTTGGTAAAAAGGTTCCTTGAATTTCTGAGGATCTCCTGATTTTTACCACAATCTCTCCCTATTCCCTTTCTTTTCTATTCCCCAAACATCACCCTCTTTTCACTCCTGTGTCTTTTGTTTGTGTGTGCTTTTAAACAACATGTTGAAAAACAAGACCATCAATTCCATTTTAAGAAAATCTAAAGGGAACCAAAAAGAGCAAAGACATTCAAACAGTAAATAGACAGGAAGGTAAAGATGCAGGAGATGAGGAGGGAAGGGTTGCGAGTGAGGCGGGGGACAAGAAACACAGGGTGCTTCCTTTACTTTGGATGAGTCACCTGACACTGATTCTGTCTGGAAAAGGGAATGTAAGAACACTTCCTTAAATTCTATGTGAACAGATACAGTGCAGTGGTATGTAAAAACTCTTTGAAATATGTTCCTTTAAAAACTCCAAGTATTATTTTTAACTTTCAGCTGGCTTAGCCTTCATATTTCAGCAATTATAGAAAAGTGTGTTGCTGACATAAAAATTGGGGGGAGTGTTATCACTATATTTTCTTTTTATGTTTACAAGCTTGGCTTTTTTAGTAGAGTTAATAAAGTATATGGCAAGCCTAAGGTTGCTCAACTTGCTGAAAATAAAATATTAAGATTCCAATTCTATTAACATTGACCAAGCATCTAGAATGTGTTCGGTTCTCTTTCTAGGTACTAATAGAAACTAAATGAATGTAAGGCTCTCATAAGAATCAAAGCAACTGTGGCAGCAAGTGAAGGAAAATTCATGGACCCTGAGTTGGTTGTAGTAGACGGAGACTCTGGAACCCTTCCTGAGCTTCATTCTGACTAGAGAGTTTAGATAAATTCAATGATTTGCTCTTTGCTTCACCCATTGGGTAACTATGCCAGGCCAGGCAATGGCCCACGATGAATAAGATATTTTCCTCAGGGAGCACACATTCTTGTACAGAAAGACAAAAAATGTACACGTGAGACAATAAAGCAACTAGATAATATTAGAGACTAATAAGTGCCCTAAAGGAAATAAAATAAGGTAGGATGATAGATAATCCCTCAGAGGTTTCTTTAGATTAGGTGACCAGGAAGAGTTCACTGAGGAGGTGACATGATGGACCAGCTGGAACTCCAAGGATGAATGAGAAGTTAGTAGTGTAATGAGGCAGGAAAAAAGTCTTTCAGGAAGAGAGAATGACCAGCCTGAGGGTTTCAAGACAGGACGAGGCCATTGTGCATGGAACATAGTGTGAAAGAGGAAGAGTGGTAAGAATTGAGGTCAGGGAAATGATACAGCCCAGCTCACGTTAAGCTTTTGATGTCACAGAAAGGAGTTTGGATGCTGATTAGAGTATAATGAGAGGTCACTGGAGGATTCCAGCAGCAAACAGAAGCTAACTCATTTACATTAATTTTGAAAGAAAATTCAGGTTTCTATGTAAGGAATGAACTATAGGAGAGGAAGACTTGAAGAAGAAAGAGGAATTAGAAAGTTACCATATAAGTCAGGTGAACAAAGATGGTGCCACAAACCAGAATTGTCACACAATACCGGGTAGAATTAGGGCTTTTCGTGGTATATCTAGAAATCTTTGGTGGTCTTCCTCTGAAATATAATTATATTGTCTAACACACTGAACTTGTTGGTGACAGTCACAATTAAAGTACAAAACAGATGAGCCATAGCTCTACACTACAAGAACATTTTTACTTTTAGTAATATTCATTATTATTTTCTTCTTCTAACTTTAGAGCATCGTACCATAACTTGAAATGTGCATAATATTTACTCTGTCTTCACTCTCCTCACCACAAGCCCCAGGTTTCTCAATCTTCTCATCCATTGAAGGCAAAGAAGTGGGAGAGAGGGTCAATATATTGCTTATGTTAACAAAGAAAGCAAGAAGTAGAACTGCTAGCAGAACACAGGTACTATGTCTGGATTTCAATAATGCTATAATCAGAACCACATTGCTTTATAAAGGGAAATCTGGGCTTCTAAGAACTGTGAAGTGGAGATTTACCAACTGACCTAATCATTCAAAGAAAATGTCAAACTACAATAATAGATTTCTGTATTCCTGTCTGCCTGAAGAGCAGAGTTGGGGCCCCTGCTGGGCATAGATCACGAAGCACACAATTATCCAGGCTCCAAGTTTCAGTAAAGAGTTTTGCTTAAATGTGCCAGATATTGTTAAAAACACAAAGAACCCTGTTCATAAACACCAGGCTTTATGCTGATCCAAAAGCCCGTGTTTATTTGTGTGGTCAATAGACTGCATATTTTAAGAATAATGTAAATAATAAAGTCAAACTACTTTATTTGGTATGAGTGAAATTGATGGGCTCAATAATCAGACACATTTGTGGACTGCTGTATCTGTACATATGCTACTGATGAGAAATAGTGACTGTATACATGTGAGAGAATTTATGGAAGCATATTTCAAAATTTACATATTCCATTCTGGAAAAAAAAAGTTCTCTTCTTTGCTTTGTGAATACAATTAGAAAAAAGAAATATTTTTTTAAATGACTGCAATGACTACTCCTTAGCTATTTTTCCAAGTAAAAAGCAACACAGCAGTCAAGACCAATCAGACCTGGAGTGGAAAATGTTTCTAACCATTAAATATAATCAAAATACTTGGATAATGTCTTAACGTCTTACATTGGGTGGGGGTGGGGGATGTAGGTAAACCTTTACTTCTGAAATGAAGACAATAGTGTTTCTCCCTACCAGAAAGAAATCTAAACTTGAAAAAATCTTCAATCTCACTGAATAAAGAGTTCAATCATAACTAGTTTTCAGAATATGTACATGTTTTCTTGAAATGCTCCCAAATTTCTTTTTGATCAATAAATGGTTCTTTTGACTGAATAAACTTGGTTTTTCTCATTTTTGTTTTTGGGAGTATTTGTTTGTTTGTTTTTGGTATGCCCCTATTCTTCTGTCTATAGTACCTGCAACCCAAATCCAAAATAATGTTCACTACAGATAGCTGAGCCCAAGCCCAAGTAACCACCAATTGTCAACTAATTTTTTTAATGTGCTGAAACATGATTAAATGATTTTTTTTTCTGTTTAGCTTTAGGCAAAAGTAAGTTAACTCCTGTCCAAGTGAGGACTTATTCCATCATTGATTTCTGACTTTAAAAGCTATTGACGCTTATTTTTATAGGCTGTATTTATTTTCCTCAGATAGAGCCGGAGATCAGTTGAAATAGACATATAAATAACTCAAAATTATTTTCTGATTTTCAGTAAAGCATAGCTGGTCATTTGCAGAACTTTGCCCCTCTATCTAGAATGGAAACTTTTCACTTCTGCACTCAGAGGTAGGCATCTTCCCTTGATCACAGCACACTTTCTCTCAGAGCCTGGATGAGACTTCACAACAAAACTCACAAGTAGCTGTTACAGAGATGAAAGCTGGTAAAGGAGATGAAACCTCCTTGCTGACCTATGTGCAAATGGAAGTGAGCTTTTTTCACATGATAGGAAACATACAAAGTACCTTCTCCTTCATGTCACATTCTTTCAATAAACTGAAGAGAATGCTGTGAGGGGAACTTCAGGATTGAGAAATAGACCCTCCCCCCGACAAAAAAAGATAAAAAGACCAAAAGAAAAAGAAGAAAAGATTGCACATTTGCACCCTGTGCATATTATCTGTATTGGCAAATCAACGCAGAACAGCAAGATGGTCAAAACAGAAGTTCTAAGTGCTCAGTGAAATCAGGATTGAATCCATATCCTCACAACTCACCAAGTTTCTACTGCTAAGTCATGTGGTGTATATATTGTGACTCTTGTCCTTGAACTACAATTCACAGGGGAGATTGTAGCATTGCTTTAAGTTGTAATTTTATGGAAGAGCTGATTAATGGAGGTCACAGACCAGATGAAATACTTAGCTTTGATTTGAGTCAACTTCACAGAGGATATTTTAAAGTATCAGACCAATACTAAATAAAAGCAGAAAACAGTACCTTGGATAATTGAAAGAAAAAAACATAAAAGAAAAAAATGGCAATTTCGGGTATATATTTTAAAAGTTAGTTCTAACTTGAATTTTGCTTATTTGCAGTCTTATGACTATACATAGATCTGTGTTAAAACAAGGCCAATATTTTAGAGTAACATAGCAATGTGCATTAAGAAATCTATCTAAATCCTGATTAGCAATAACTGCTGCTTAAAATACTAGAATCCATTTTAGCATTCAACAATATAAATTATTTTAGTATTCTCAATATCTTTTTTAAAAAACCTCATAATATACTTTTTATAACCTCTTGTTTTAAATAGGATCAAATACATACTATGGTAGAAACAGAGATTCCAAATTATAAATTTGGTAATTTATACTAAGTTTTAAGAGATAAGAAGCTAGTTCTTTCCCAAATTTTAAAGACAGATAATTTGTTTTTTGTTACAGGGTCAACATTACCATCATTCAAGAAAAATATTTAATATAAATGAATGTAAAATATTAATATAAAATATTAATATAAAAGTTACTTTCAAGAATGTATTATTTAATCTATGATATTACTAAGTTATTTTCATAAAGCATTTTGTTCACTGTGATTCATTATTTTATTTGAAAAGTTAGGGTAATTTAGATTCTTCTAATATCTAAGTCCAGTGGCAAATATATTTATAAGTATTATCTTCACGTCAGTCCACGGAGCTAGAACAACAGTTCTGCCATGAAATGGGAGCCTGGAGTAAAAGCAATTTAAGTAAATTGAAGATGAATGGTTCCACTCATATAGTGATCAGTTATCTCCTTTCCAAATGAGATCTTAAATAATATTCTGTTTTACTTGAGTATTTATCCTCATACAGTTTTGATTACTTTCCTTTTTCCATTACTGCATTCACACTTCTAACCTGGGGATTATTAATAATAAATAATTTGCTTCTATATCATTGTTCAGTTTTAGAATTGTGAATGGCTTACCTGGATAATGACTAGTTTTGTATTTGTTGCCAACCATCTGCAATGACCCTTATCCTAATCCTACATCAGAATAGGGGGGTTTGTGAAATAAAGGAGGAAGATGAAAAGTAATAACTTGTCTTATTTTTGTACTTACTTTGTGAATAGGGACTGTCTGGCCTAAGATCCAAGGTTTAGATGAACTTTGAAACATACAGAATTACATTTTAGAGTAGATTCTGCCAGCGCAACAGTGTTTCTTCCTATTGAGACGTACAGACTGTCTATAAGAAGTGGAGAGATTCTTTATATTTGCAGTGTTTGTGTGTTTTAAATCTCCTAAATTTTCTTTCCCAAACAAATGGAAACATACAGACGTTGCATTGTAAATGTGCACAATGGTGTGAGCTAACCTGAAATAATATGATCGTTGTCTGTGACTCTTTTTAAAAAACCTTCCCGTAGCAGCTGCTTCTGACTTCAGTTTTAAAACATTATTTCCATGCACATCCATGAATTATTTAGAATTCCTTAGTTTATGACACTCCTCTGCTCCTGCTGGTTACAAGATTGGTTTTGAATCATTGTCCTTAGAAAGATAAAGCACATACAAAATTGAATTTCATATGCACCACCCATGCAGGTTGAGCTCTCTAGAATGCTTTTACTTTCCAGATTGACCAAGTTGTTCAGCAAAGTGAGTACATAGTTCATTAGAATTTTAATGTAAAACCTTGTAAAATGAAAGTTTGGATAAATACAGTACCTATAAATAAAATGGAAAAGAATAAAGAATAGTTTCACATTATAAACATTATATTTGGAAACAGGAAAGTCCTCAGTTTTTATTTAATTAAAAGTCATCAAGGATGATCCAGCTCTCCAAAAAGTTTCCCACTTGTATTTTCAAGTTAACTAAAGTTTTATTCTAGTATCTTTTTTAAATATTCAAATCTGTTTTAGAAAATTTTTCTTTATTAATATGCAATAATCTCAATTTCTTCAGCAAAGAAAATGGTGTTAAAATGTCACTAGCTATCCAAAGGAAAAATAAAAATTTAAATCAATTGTCGAAATATTTCCAACCAACATGATCACACACAGTCTACATTGCAGACAAGATATCTCAGTATTTGAGGTGAAGGCAACATTATTTGAGTGAAAAAGCACCAAGAAGCATGTGATGCAATCTGTCTTTCCAAACCAAACCTAGCTTTCTTTTCCATCTCTTTTTGCTATTGCCTTTTCCTCTTTTCTTGATCTTTTCTCCCCATAACTTCCTTCATGTCTCATTGAAGTTTTGATCTTCTCACTGCTAAACTCAAATAGGGCCTCTATGACCAAGCAGGTTTTTCTATTTTACTTGAATTTTCATCCAGATGATTTGCATCCTAGAGACACAACCCCATTTTTCAAAATAAGATCTGGCAACACTCAGCTGTGGGGTTCAATTGCAGATGCCAAAAATGCAAGGTGCTATGATGGAGTTTTATAGTGTCTAGTGGAAAAACTCATAAGTGAAATTCTTTCTCCATCAACCTTCTTACATTAAAAGGGTCAATTTTTAAAAATAAACTCAGCTTTATGGAAGAATCATCAAACACAAAGGCATGGTTCCTTAGGGCGATGTGTCTCAGTTAAGACACATTTTTACAATTTGTTTCTATTCCAAACGTTTGATCATTTTATTATGTTTGAGGGAGTTAAAACTTTCTCTTCTGATGATTCTTGCATTCTCCAATAAATGTTGTTTATAAAAACTGTAAACAAATCTGACTGAATACATAAAATTACCATCTAAGAATATAGCCTAAAATAATCATTTCCAAAAGAATTTACACAAAATGAAAGCAGATAGTTTTTTGGATTTATAGTAGAAAACAGGTCTTAGAGAATTTTCCTGTTAATACAGCTATGAAAAAGATATTCTGGATATATTTTAAGAATGACACATCAGCTTCATCAATATTAGAATATAACAATATATAATATACAACTCTTTAGGACATTATTAAATAATTAAATAAAACATAAAGGCTTTATTTTTAAATTTTTGCTCTTCATATTTTAATTTGCATAAACATTTTTAAGTCTTAATAAATTTCAAAGAATTCCATATGACACTCTAAAAATGGGTTTTAATATAAATATGAAGTTTTTAAAAGTACATGGATTTTCCTAATAGTTTTGAAAATCTTTTTAAGGATGTTCTTACTTTTATGGTTCACTGTTGTCAAAAACATTCAAATAATTTAAAATTTAGAACTACCAACTAGAAGATTAATAGGCTAGATATTTTAGTATTGATATTAAGTCAAAAATTACTTATTTGTTCTTTCAATTGCAGAATACAATACTATAATATTCTTAGGGAAATAATATTGGCAGTTTTTCTTGGTAGTGTAGACTGTTATGTTCCATGACATGAGTACAAACAGGAAGCACAAAATATATTTTTCTAAACTAGCTTGTAATTCTTTTTCAAGAGCTAATGCATACTTTGCATGTATAGTTCTCAGCTGTTTATTTGTTTGTTTTTTGGACAGGATATAGCAGTAACTTCCTACAATTTTAACTCATTTAAAAAATATGTTATTCCAAAAATCTTAATGGATAAAGATAAAACTAAGACTCATAGACACAAATAGCAGGAAATTTGAAAACTATATATTTTTTTTGCAAGGAAATTCTGCTTATTTTTTCCAAATGCCTTTGCAAACAAGACAAATCTCATGATAAACAAAATATATCTAAAAATAAATATCACATATTAAATAAGTAGTAGTTAATCCAAGATGCAATATTCTTCACCTTTTCTAAATTATTTGGAAACACTTTCTAATGTCAAGGAATAGCTCATTTATTTATACTTAGATTTAGATTTAGATAATGTTTTAAAAATGATAATGAACTTTTAGCCAAGAAATTGCTTAAGTAAAATTATATGACTTGTGACTAACACTGTGCTTTTGTTTTTAAAGGAAAAAAATACAGTTACGTTCATTGTTAAGATGTATTTATAGAGCATTTTTATTGTTAAGTTATGCTTTTAGAGCTTTAGGAACATTTGAGAACAATAATCAGTAGTGTGTAATGGTATTGTTAGTGGAGTCCTTTCTATTGAATTTTCAAGATGTTGTAAAATGAGATTATGTGAGTAGCACCTCTGGACACTTTTTCCCATCATTGTGTTGGTATCAATCGCTGACTTCCACCATTTCTCCGGGTATTAAATAGAAACACTGGTTCCCACTGCCTTGATTGGAGGGTTTATAATACCTGACAGAACTGATAACCCTACTGAGATTAAGCATTGTGATCTTATGAAAGCTAAATGAAATCTACAGCTCCAGAATGTGTCTCTAAGACAGACCTGAGAAGATGTGAGAAAATATCTTTTTTTCATTCTTTCCTTATTCTGACAAAGCACTTCTTTCCCCAGGCAAATCTGGCTAAGAGAGACAGTGAGAAAACTCTGTGTCATAAGCTTCAGCCACAGTAGGGCCGCCATTCTACTGGCAGAGGTAACATCTGACACATGCCAAAGCTAATGCCTCATGCAGAAGGTGTGTTGCATGATCACTGTGTGTGGACAGATTGCCAACACATAGGATCAGTTTGAAATTGGCAGGGTTCAGCATGACTGGAAATTGAACTATGTTTGAAGAAGAGGTGCCTATGCTTGGCTCTGCTCCTGGAGTCATCTGTAACTACGGAAAAAGCCTTCTCACATTTACTTCTCAATTTCCCACACATTAAAAACATGAAATTTAACAATTATTGACTCTCCTCTATAAGGCCTTTCCAGGATCAGATATTAAAGTATCCCATTATCTAATATATTTAGAATGGTGTCCCAGTTCGTGGGGCCTGGCTGCAGAGACCAATAAATCTGCAGCTAACCACTGACGTTTTAAAGATTTTTGCTGCATTCTTCCTATCCTTATCCTCCTTGGTCATGAGTGGTCACCATGACCAGAAGAACAGAAATTATATGCCCTCTGCTTTCCACTCCTGGATTAATCTTAAGAAAGGATCTATCTCTTAGTAGCCCTGAAAAATGCGTTGTCAGCAGAGAACCGCTACCTCTAACTGATGTTTTTCAAATACCTTTTCAGCTCTCATTGACTGTCCTTCCTTATATTGATCCCTCTTCCAAACCTACTCAATCCACCAGTATTCTCATTTATATAGAAGTTCAGCTGCTACCCCAGTTCCATGCATTACTGGGTGTGGTCTGGCTCAGGAAATCTTGTTCTCTTAAAATGTATAATATTTTACATTTCATTTTGATAGGGAGATATCATCTTCTAGCTGGCTCCTTGGAAGGCCAGAAGCTAAGGCATAAGGAGCTGGTAATAACAATGTCATTATATGTCTTACAAGAAAATTTTTATTTTACCAAGTGATAGTGTCTTAAATCAAAGAATTTATTTTAAGGTCATTTTTTCTAGAAGCATATTTATGCTTTAAAAAAGCACAAATACAAGAATTTTCTGAAAAGAGATTTAGTTGCTGCAAAATTACAACGGATGGTGACAGTCTTATGCAACTCTGAGCTTGAAGTGTTGCATTTAATTCTCAGTCCCTTATTTTAAAAGCATTTACAAATCATAAGATATTCAGATGAATGTGACAGAATTGGGGAGAGGTCTGAAAATCAAACCATATTAGGAAGATTTAAAGTAACTATGGATGTTTTGTGTGGAGAATGAAAGACTTGAAGAGGAGATGCCCTATGATTTTTAATGGAGAGTCATATAGTAAAGGAATTTAAATTATTCAGTGTGGTTCCTAAGGACCATTGCATGTAAGTTGTGTAAAGAAAGATGCAGCTTTATATAGAGAAGAAAAATATATCAACTGGTATGTTAGATAGGAATCTTCTTCCTTATGAGAATATCTGGGACAGACATCAAATGGTTGCAATGAGCAAAACCTCATTCTAGCATAGCTTATTTTAAAAAGTGGATTATTGAAAAATAAAGGAGACATTTGCAGAACTCAACAGTGCAGTCAGGCTTCATGAAAAACAAAATAGTGTCAGTCATCTCCTCCCCCTTCCTCTTTCTCTCAGAAACCGCATGGTCTCTTCTCTCCCTTGCTCTCTTTAAGTCTGCTGCATTTATCTCTACAGAACGGATTAGCCTGTAAGAGCTCTGGTTTCCCTGCCTCCTCCTAATTTTAACTTGCATGTGGCTCTGGTTTGCCAGAGCAGCAACAATATATCATCTTTATATTCCCACAGCATTTCAGTATCCAACAGCATCTCTCTGTCATTTCTGGGTCTTTGTAGTTCAAGTTCTCCCAACAAAATTTCATCAATTCCTTTTGAGTCCATTTACCCATACTTGCTCTAATTTGCTGTGCCAAGCAGGTTGGATGTACCAGTGACAAAATGGTCAAGACTGTCAGCCAAGTGCTGGGAAAGGGGGCACTACCATTTAACCAGCCAAGTATTTCCCGTTTTAGTATATGTACCCACCATTTAGCCCATTGCCCTAGCCAAAAATCTGAAAGTTATTATTGACTCTGCCCTTTCCTTCAATTGCCAAATCCCACCCTTCATAAGTCCTGGCAATTCTATCCCCTAAATAGTCCATTGTTTCCCTAGACTTTTCATCTCTACTGATGCCATCCTACTCCAAGTCACCATTGTTTCTCAGGCAAGATATTTTAAAGGACGTCTAAGTTGTGTTCCCAAGGTCATTCTAACACCATTCTCCACACTAAAGCTAGAGTTACTTTTTCAACCAATTCTGATCATGTTGTCCACTGTTTAAAACAAGGCTTGTCAGATCTCAGTTTAAAAACAAATATTGTTCAAGAACCCTGTTTTGTTCAAGACCAGGAGTTTGGGTCTTGCCATACTCTCCGGGCTCATCATGTACCACTTCATTTCTTGCTCTCAGAACTCTAGGCCATAAAATTTACTTTCAAAAATAGAAATATACCAAAATTTCTATCCCCTCGAGACCTTTTACCTTGCTACTTCCTCTATCAGAAACACTTTGTTCTGCCACCCTTGGATTAGATAACTTCAACTCAGCCTTTGGATTTCAAATTAAGTATATTTATTCAGGGAGGTCATCTCTTTGAATGTTTTCTCCTACAGCAACATTCATCTTAGTTGAATTCGCTAGTTCAATGTCTAGCTTTTTCACCAGAGTATAAGATCAATGAAAGCAACTGCTACTGCCTTCTAGGCAACGGTAGTGTTTGACATAAAATATAACTCAATAAATATTTGTAGAATAAATGAATTATTGGTAAGCCTAGATCTAATACCAGGCATTCCAAAGATGTGAAATCCTA
This sequence comes from Homo sapiens, assembly GCF_000001405.40. Taxonomy (NCBI): domain Eukaryota; kingdom Metazoa; phylum Chordata; class Mammalia; order Primates; family Hominidae; genus Homo; species Homo sapiens. Next base: position 169,055,876 of record NC_000003.12, read on the forward strand.
ATTTTCTTAGATTTTTGGAGATGACGAAAAGCTCACACTTCTTGAAATCTCAAACCTTGATTAGGGAAGGCAAGACACTCTGTGACAACTTCTAAAATCAAGAATACATTTCTAAAAGGGTTAGATTATTTCTGCACAAAAAATAAAAGTAATAAAATTTTTATTTATGTTTTGTATAACTAAACATGGATATAAAGAGATATCAAATTCATGCAAGCAGAAAAAATAGCCAATCTTAATTCTTTCAATAAATTTATGTATCATGGCCGGTCATGGTGGCTCATGCCTGTAATCCCAGCACTTTGGGAGGATGAAGCAGGTGGATCACGTGAGGTCAGGAGTTCAAGACTAGCCTGGCCAACATGGTAAAACCCTGTCTCTAGTAAAAATGCAAAAATTAGCTGGGCCAGGTGGTACATACCTGTAATCCCAGCTACTTGGGAGGCTGAGGCATGAGAATCGCTTGAATCCAGGAAGCGGAGGTTGCAGTGAGCCGAGATCGTGCCACTGCACTCCAGACTGAGTGACAGAGTGAGACTCTGTCTCAAAAAAAAAAAAAAAGAAGAAAGAAAGAAAGAAAGAAAGAAAGAAAGAAAGAAAGAAAGAAAGAAAGAAAGAAAGGGAAAGGAAAGGAAAGGAAAGGAAAGGAAAGGAAAGGAAAGGAAAGGAAAGGAAAAGAAAGAAAGACAGGTAGATTTATGTATCGAGTGCCTGTATAAGCTGGGAACTGTTCTAAATATTTTAGATATAGAGTGAAAAAAATAGAAATGAATCCCTGCCCTCATGGAGTTTACATTTTACTACATTCTAGTAATATAACATGGTTAATCAAATACACAAAAATGAAAAAAAATGAAAAAATTGAAGTGTTCACCACACCTGGCTAAATTTTGTAAAACTCTTAAATATTTGTGAACTTGACTTACAAAGTGCTAGTGTTTTCTCTCCTATCTATGACTCTCCTAGGGAATCTCCTAGGTGTTTCGGAGAGACACAAGGATGTGGCTTTGGATAAATACTAGAGCAGAGGTGCATATAACCTCTGCAGATTTGCTGCTACGGAGGTGTATGTCTAAAAGGTAAATATTGTTTGAATTTGGATAAACATTTCAAAATAATAACAGAAAGACTTAGATCCTCATAAATCACACACCAGATAGGAATAAATAAATTTTAGTGACCTTGCTCCTCTTCATTTCCCCTAACACCCAGCATTTACACTAAGGAGCAATGACAAAGCTGTGTAGCAGAGAGACTATGGAGAGAGCAGGGTCCCTGACAGTCCCCAGATCAGATTGGTCTTGGGAATACCTGAGATTTTAGATGCCAAGAGTTGAAATTAAGCCATGGAAAATGGGGTGATACGCTATCCTTTTAAATCTCTTTTGTTTTAATTCCAAGAGATTCTATGCGGGTGCAAAGCCAAACAATAGATTCCAGAAGAGCAAAGTTCACAGTACAATAGGTGTTCCAAAATGGATGTCAATGCAAAAGGAAATAGGGCCACTTAGAAAACAGAATGTTGCCTTTTGTCTTAAAAATTAAAGCCAAATTTAACTCAGAGAAGACAATTCTGAACATAAAAAGAGACCTGTGGCTTCATCAGTTTAATCATAACCCACAAATATTTCTAACAAAGGTCATCGATGCAATCTCTTATAACACCAAGAAGTTAATAATGAATTTATGCATTCATTTGACAAATATTTATCAGGTCCATACTGTACATCAGGCACAGTTCTGGGTAATGAGGATAAATGGTGAATTTTTTTTTAAACCATGACCTTCCATAGAGCACAATCTAGTGAGAAAGATAAACATATAGCAAATAAATAAATATATGTCTAATATAATACTGGATGATAACATGCTATGAAAGAAAATATAGTAGTGTAAGAAGATAGAGGGTCTAGAGGTGGTATTTAAGATGAGGTGTGCAGATGTGGCCTGTCTGTTAAAGTGGCATTTGTGCTAGAGGGGAGTGAGCTACAGGGAGCGTGGTCAGAGAGGAGTCTGGAGAGGTAGCTAGGGTTCAGATCATAAGGGTACTGTGGGCCATGATAAGGTACTGTGGTGCATTGGACAAGAGTAATAGGAAATGGTGAAAGTAGTAAAATTCTGGTGGATAGATAGAGAGATAATGGAAGATAGATAGATCACTGATGGATAGGATATTATTTATAATATTATATTATATTTTATATCATTTATAATATCCTATCTATCTAATCACTGTTTGATGGGGTGTTATAAAGGTTCATCTCCTTGTCTTAATTCAGGACAACTCTAAAGAATTACAGAATTACAGTTACAGAATTCCTCTTATATCAGTTGAGGTCTTTGATATAACTGCATAAAAATTCAATTCTCCCTCTGTTCAATCTTGCTTCCAATGCCCCTCCTCCACACAAATGTTAAATTTGACAGCACCTTCTATAAACTTCTTACATGTAAAGCTCTTCATCAGAGTCTGTTTTCCAGGAAATCTGTCACTTGGTGCCAAGATTCATCCAAGGAAGCACGCTCAAAAATGAAATTTTGGCAGTAGATTACTGCTGGCCGACTGGCAACGAGGACCCCATCAAAGGTGTATAAGGAGAACGCCAGTGATCACTGGTTTGCAGTAGTGGTATGAATGTTAAAATTTTCATGAGTTGTAAACGTGGATGGGATGCTGTGATAGGCAGTCTCTAAAACAGTCCCCAGTGATCCTTGCCTCCTGGTTTTCATGCCCTTATGTAGTTCTCTCCTGCACTAAACCAGCATGTTCCATATGCCTAATGGAATACTGCCAAAATAATGGTATGTGTATTAGTGCATTGAAGCTTCTGTATTGGCATCTTAGATCACTCTCTCTGGGGAGGAAGCCCCTTGCCATATCATAAGAACACTCAAACAGCTCTATAGAGAGACCTTGAGGCTTAGCTAAACAGCTAGAATATTTTGCCAGGTATGTAGTAGTGAATATTTATTTCACTTGAGTCAAATCTTTTAACAAGTACAGGCATGAATGACATGGAATGGAACCTCATGGCCAGCCCTGAGCTACAGACTGCTCAGCAAAACCATTCCTGAATCCCTGACCCAAAGAAACTATGGGAAATAGTAAATGTTTATTGCTATTTCAAGGCACTGATTTTGGGGGTGGGAGGGTTATTTGTTATGCAGTAATGGATAAATAATTGCATATATTGGTAGAAGAGAATATACTTTAAAAAGTGCAATATATCATAGGTTTGAGAAATATTGGTTATAAGGACTATCAAATTATATGTCTATGGATGTGGGCAATGGATATATTGGGGGAAGGGAAAGTTTTAAGTTATTCACCACTTAAAGAGTAAGTGTGAAAGTGAGCCTCCTTTGAAACTTAAAAAAAGATTCTTAGCTCCTGCAGCCAGAGGGCAGAGAAAGCTGAGGACTGGGCTTATAAGAGTAACAAAGCTCCAAAAGAGATCATTTCTGGAAGGCTAATGTAGGGACCCTACGTGTGAAGCCGTGGGATGATGGACTTGAAGTGGGGATATTGTGTTGATGCATGAAAACCTCTTGAATCTCCAGATTCTCCAGAGCTTTTTAGACCTGAAAAAGTGGCCCACCTTCCCTGTTCAAGGACAGTACTCTTCCCTTGTCTGAAAATTATGCATAGGTGTGTTTGCAGCACAATCCATCTGCCTCTCAGGATCTACCTCCCATTATGTCTTTTCAGGTAATACAGTAGGCCCCTCTTATCCATGGGGTATATGTTCCAGCATCCTCAGTGGATCCCTGAAACCACAGATAGTACCAAACCTCATATATGCTAAGTTTTTTCCTAAACATATACCTATGATAAAGTTTAATTTATAAATTAGGCACAGTGAGAGATTAAAAACAATAATTAATAATAAAATAGAACAATTATAATAATATACTAGCATCACTACTCCACTATTCTTTGGGGCCATTATTAAGTAAAATAATGGTTATTTGAACACAAGCACCAGGATACTACCACAGTTGATCTTGTAACCAAGAAGGCTACTAAGTGACCACCAGGAGGGCAGCATATGAAGTGGGACTATGCCAGACAAACGAATCATTCCAGTCCTGAATGGAACAGAAAGAAATAAAGTAAGATTTCATTACGCTACTCAGAATGGTGTGCAACTTAGTTAAAACTTGTAAATTATTTATTTTTGGATTTTTCTATTTAATATTTTGGGACGTCAGGTATCTGAAACCTTAGAAAGTGAAACCACGGGATAAGGGAAACTACTATAACTGGAATTGAGCCTCAACATAACCCAGTGAGGGAAGGGCTGCAGTCTGCTAAAGGAGGAAAGAGTCTGGGTTTCAAAGGCATGACAGGACCTAACCAACATATACCAACAGATGGCAGAGCAGTATGTACAAAATTGGGTTCTGAGGATGCTGGATTAAGGAGGGTAGAATATAAAATTGGATTAGGAAGAGTTGATTAACATGGAAACACTCAACTACCACATAGGACTTAAAGCCCTGGAAAATGACCTTGGGAGATGAAGCTAATACGTTGCTAAGATAGCTCTTGGAAGTTTGCTGAAAGTTATGGCCCATGCTAAGTGAAGTATATTTACCAGGGTATTCTGGCAGATGAGGAAGAATAAATAAAGAAAAGTTGAGAGTAATGGTCATGTGCAGTGCATACATTTCATGAAGGTAGATGATAAAGAAGTGCAGGTGAGAAGAGAACCACTACAACTGAGAAGTTCAGTAATAGCTGTCCTCTATAGGCCAGGGCCAATGATAGGAGATGTGTCCATAGAACTGTCCTTCCTGATAATAGTGGGGATGATACGAGCTGGAATAATAACAGAAGCAGCATGGTGGGAACAATTATTGCATTGAGGACTAAGGTTGAGGTGGAAGCTGACAGCACATATAATAGTTATTTAACTGTTTGCTTTTTTTTTTTTTTTTTTACCTTTTTTAAGTGAATAAAGTAAGCACAGATCTGGAAACTGGGCAAGGGATGAACCATGGAGGATGACAATGGACCATTAAAAATTCAACGAGTCCTAATTGTGGCTGCTATACAAGATATGGTGTATTTGCTAGGGAAGATTAATAAAGCCTCAGATACATTTTATTATATATGACCACTAATCTGGTGAATGCAATTTTTTTCTAATCCTATTAGAAAGATCAGGAACAGTTCATATTCATTTGACACACACAACATCATTTACATATATTCTTTTCCTTGGGGCTATGTTAAATCTCCCATTTCCTGTCCCAAGGACTTGGACCATATGGATACTCTGAAGAAAATGACATTGGTCTACTATATCAATGATACCATGTTAGTTAAACTGAATAGATCAAGAAGCGGTGACTACATTGGAGACCAAGCTACAGATTCCTTCAGAGTCTATAGTAAACAATCCAATCAGTTATGAGGTTAGTATACATTCTAACCTGGACTAATGAACAGCATGATGGCTCTTGTTAATAATACTGTATTGTTTACTTGAAATGTCTTAAGAGAGATCTTAGCATCTCACCAAAATAAAATTTCAAAAGTAACTATGTGAGATGCTGGATGTGTTAATTAACTTGATTGTGGTAATCATTTCATAATATACACACATATCAAATCATCACATTGTGTACTTCATATATATACAATTTTACTTGTTAGTTGTAGCTTGATAAAGCTGGAAGAGTAGAAGAAGAAAAAAGAATGAATGACCTAGTCAGCTGATGTTAGCCAGACTGCTCATCAGCAGCCCCAGTACTTGCACAATAGATGCATGAATGGTGTAGCCTGATGAAGGAATGGACAATCTGCATGGGACCAAAAGCCTGAGCTCTCCCTCACTGAAGCTTATCTAGCTATTTCCACTGTCAAATGTCCAGCTTGTGAGGAATAGAGTCCAACTTGTGTGCTCTTTATAGTATTGTATCTCAAGGACATCCATTTTAGTGGCAAGTTGACAATATTGGACCCCTTCTTCCTCGAAAGGGGCAGCAACTCATCTTATACATGCATTCTAAGTATGGACTTGCATTTCTTGCTTGCAGGACCTCACCCACCATCATTAGCTGAGAGTGCACAGAGTTTGATTACCAACACAGGATCCCACATAACATCACATTGGACCAAGGAACACTCTAGACTAAAGAAAGTGTGGTAGTGGACACAGGGCCATGGGAGCCATTGGTTATATCACATACTGCTCCACCAAACTGGCCTGATAGAATAATGGAATAGTGCAATTACAGCCAGCTTGGAGATGATAGACCGTGAAGATAAGACCCTATCCTTCATAAAGTAGGATACTTCATGATGCAGTTATATAACCTAAACCAATGACCATTATATGGTTCTCTGTCTTTAATATTTAGAATACCTGGGTCCAAGACCCAAGGAAAGAAAACAGGAGTGGTCTTACTGCCATTACTTTTATTGACTTGGGGAATTTGTGCTTCCCATACCTGCAAGTTTAGGGACTATAATACCTAAAGGGAAGTGCTTTCAGAAGGAGACATTATACTAAGCCTTGAGCTGCAGTTGCTGCCTGATCACTTTGGTCTCTGCATGTCAGGACACCAAGAGCAAAGAAAGAAATTACTATGCTAGCAGGGATAATTAACCTTGATCATCACGAGTAGAGAGAGTTGCTGTCATACACTGGGGTCAGGAAGGAATATGTTCAGTACTCATGTGATCCACCTGGGTGTCTCTTGATACTCCCTTGCCAATTTTGATGGTAAATGAAGAAATGAAGTGACCACAGACTAACAAAGGTATGGTGACAATGAGATCAGACCTCTTGGCAATGAGATTCTGGATCATCGCCATAAGATAAGTCATCTAAACCTTCATGTGCCAACCAAGGGAATTTAAAATGACAGAGATGGGAGAGAATGAGTATCAGTTGCAGACTCAAGACCAACTACAGTAGCAGTGTCTGATGTTTATACCACTAACACTCTTCTTTTAAGTTTCCTCAGCAAAAGACATCCAACAGAACTGTGAAGGAGTTGCTCCTAGGAAGTGGATCCAAGAAATGCCAAGAATGGTCTCTTCTTTTTTTCTTTTTTTTTTTTTTCTGAGACTGGGTCTCACTTTGTCACCAGGCTGGAGTGCAGTAGCCTGATCTTAGCTCACTGAAGCCTCGACCTCCTGGGCTCAAGCAATCCTCCCACGTTAGCCCCCAAGTAACTGGGACTACAGACACACACCACCACTCCTGGCTAATTTTTTTTTTTTTTTTTGTAAAGACAAGGTTCTGCCATGTTGCCCAGGCTGGTTTCGAACTCCTGAGCTCAAGCAATCAGCCCACCTTGGCCTCCCAGTGTGTTAGGATTACAGGCATGAGCCACCACTCCCAGCAAGAATAGTCTCTATTGAATACCGTAGTGTGCTATCCATATGTCTCTACTTCGGTACTCGTCAGTCCTTCAAAGACATCCAAGACCATGCTTCCTCTGCAGCACCACTCCTTATCCAACGACCAGTAGATGCTGGAATTAAAGAACCAGACCCCTCGCCATGATTTGCGACAACTCTAAAGGCCTTCCCAGCTCCCGAGCTCTCCAGAAGACAGGCTGAGGTTTTTATTGTGACTGCATCATAGTTCAATTTCTTTCACTTCCACAGGTGTTAATTCCAAAAACAATCCCCAATAAACTTCCTGCATATAAGTCTCCATTTCTAAGTCTCTTTTTCGGGAATACCTGCCTACACCGCAAAATTAGTTATGATGATGATTATTATTATTTTTATTAGGCACTTAGCATATTAATTTAATTCTACTTCCCCCAAACAAAACCGTAAGGTTACTATTAAAGTAAACCCATTACAGCCAAGGAAATTGAGACTTAGAAACATTAAATACCTTACCTATTGTCACACAGGCTATAACTGGTGGAGACAGGATTTGAGCGAGGTCAGCCAATTTCTCAAGCCTGTGAGGTTTTATGAGTGATCAAGTATCGCTGTCAGAAGCAATAGCATGAACAAAGATATGTATCTTTGAGCTTGGGGGAATGAGAAAAGTTAGGGAGAGATAAGTCTTAGAAAGACAGAAGAGTTCAAATTGGAATAAACCAAGAATGCCACAGTCAATACGGATTTACCCAAAAATTGAACCAGTTCTGTAGAATTCTCCATTATTCTCATCCTAAAGAAGGAAAAACAGTATGGCTTATTGACAAGGATAAAGCTAATAGAAAAGTTACACTTGCACCCTTAATTCTGTTATATCCTTACCAGGTATGAGAAATGGCATGGGTAGAAGGAGAAGTGGATGGCAATAGCACAGAAAGAAATCCAAAACCCTCTCCTCAGGGATTATGAGGTGAAGGTGCCAGTCGTGGAATGCTGCACTCTTATTCTCCTGTGTTTATTCAGCCCTGGGGCTGAGGTTTGCCTTGGAGTTGTAACCTTTATAAGGGGTTTGCTTAATGACAGAATTATTCAACTGCATACCTCACCCCAATTAGAAAAAGGCTGTTTGGATTCTAATTGACCTTGACACAAGTCTGCTTAAAGAGATTCCCCAAGAATTATAGAGCTACTTTCAGAGTTTGACTTGGCCAGGAATATGAAATGTAACACGGTTTTTTGAATTTTCTGCAGTTACTATGAAACGACCAAGCCACAGGTATCAAACATGCTTTGTTTTTGTGTTATAATCACATTACAAATTGAACATTTCCACATGTGCAAGTTGGCAAATCTGAAATGAATGATTATGAAGATTATAATTACATATATCAGGTATATATGGCCAACATATTTTCACTCACACAAAAGCGTATTTTCCCTACTCCCTAGACATCCATGTATAGTGTGTTTATAGGATGTAAAACCATCATCCTATATATAAACCAAAAATGTATTTTTAAACAGTTATTGCCAGGTCAGGTGATAAGTCGACATAATATTTGGAAGGTGTAAATACCAGGAAGGGATAGAGATTCCTAAGCTAACCATGAGGAAATGACTAACAATAATAGGTTGAAATCAAGAAGAACATAATTTGGACTGAATATCAGGAGGAGAGAAAATAAGCTTCCTGGCTACAATAACTGTTAGGCTCTGAAATAATTCTTAAGGGAAGTAGAGCTCTCTTCCTTACCCAGGACTTTGGAAATGAGGCATGCATTCTTGGAGTCCCTTCTAACAAGCAGTTTTGCTTGGGGAGAGGAAGGAGATCTTTTCCATTTCTGTTTTCAGAGACTTGATATTAAGAAAAAAAATCTCAGAAATCTTTATGTAATTTCCCTTTAAATGTTCACCAAACCACCTTTGAGCATGATCCTGCATTTACCTTGTAGTGAACATTATGTCTCCTGTTCCTTCACAGCCAAGAAAAATCCATCCCATGGTCACACAGTTTGCAGCAACCAGGAATTATTTTCAGCTTAATCCTGAAGACCACTTGGTGGTCTTTCACTCGTCTGAGTACCTCTCCCAAGCACTGCAATAAGGAGTTCTCTAAGAATTGCAGCTAACTGCTTTAGTCAGGCGTACTCTCCTCATTTGTCTCAATCCTGCTTTTCCCTAGTTCACAGAGAAAGTGAAAGCCTAGAGTATGAACAACTATTAAGCTCCCTCTCCACCTAAAAATTGATCTGCATTCATAGTTTCCCTCCCTCCCTCCTTGCAAAGGCCAAGGCCCTCTTCACAGATCTCTGCACTAGATCTTAACCCCTCTTACCTCCTGCAGGGACTTGCTCTGTGAGCCACTCCACTCTTTTCACGCTCTCAAATACTCTATTTCCCCATCTCTTACTCTCTCAAGCATGTGTTTTACCTCCAAGTATGTAAATATGCTTTTTCCATCTTTTTTCTGGGTGGGGATGCTTCTCCAGTCAGTTCTCTAGAGGGTAGAGCACACTGCTAGTGGGCATACCTCAAGCCAAGGAGTGGCCATAGGTTGGGTGTTAGCAGGGAAAGAGGTGTGGACAGAGTTTGGGTTTGTAGCTGCAGTGGTCACACACACAGGTGTGTATACAGAGTTCCTCACAATATAAGGTTTACTGGGATGGGAAGAAAAAGGAGGATCTTCTGTTGGAGGTGCAGGGTATTCAGATTGACCTCTCCAAGCAATCATATTCTAGAGCAGAACTCTGGAATGCAAGAGTTTGAAATTCAAGCCTTCCAGGTGATTACAAGGTATATTTATTAAGTTGGGAGTATAGAACACATTTAACAGTTCATTCTACTGGTTCCTAGCTTTGAGATGGGGTAAGTTTGCCTCCATTCATACTTTTGCCTTGGGCCTTGGAAATACAACAGGTGGGCTTTCTGAAGCTACCATAATCTGGCTTATTTACCTCTATCTTGCAACCCCTATTGTTAAAGTTATCGATAATGTTTTTCTGGTTTTGTCCATTTGACACTTGACCAATCCCTCCTCAAAACTCTCCTCTCTCAGTGTCACATGACCGTCCCAGTTTTCTCCCTTTTTCTCTGCCCTTTCTTATTTGGCTTTCTTGGGTGCTTAGTGTGTCATCAGTCATTGAAATAGTAGAATTTCCCAGAATTTCTGTTTTTGGGCGTGATCACCACAGACCTCTCTCCTAGTGGGAGCTTTCTAGATTCTTAATCTGATCATATTCTGGTACTGTGAAACTCTACAGTGGCTCCTCATGATGGCCTGCAGTATAAATCCACACTCTTCTCATCAATTGAGGGATTTATGATCATCTGACTTCTCCAGCCTTATCTGCTACTCCCTCCCCATATGCATCCAACTCCATCCAAACTGCAGCTTCCTGAGGCCAGCATTTTCTCTCATGCTCTGGGCTGTTACCCAGGGGTTTCTTTTGCCTAGAATATGCTTCCCTCCATTGTCTGTCTGGTTAAACTATACACCATCCTTTGGGGATCGTCTTATCCATGTCTGCGAAGCATCTGGAGACTTACTTGGGTAGAATTTTGTGTGTATGTTCACAGACAGTTTCATAAAGGCTTCACACTTTCTCCTTTGTTAGGGGAAATAAAAAATCCATAAACTCCTCCTCTCCCACCCTCACAATGAACAGTGAGATATATTTCCTTCTAAAGTATATGCTAACTTTTACAAGATTTTAATTTGCAGCTTATAAACAATTCTGTTTTCAGCACTTTACCATGATATCATAAGAATTTTTCTATGTTATCTTACGGTAGCATAGCATTATAATTGTCTTTAAAATACATTGCTAAAATGTTTTTGCCAGCAACATAATATGATCAGACCTGTGATTTGAAAAATAAATCTGTTAATGATGTAAAGGGCTGATGTGTGAATAGACTGGAACCAGGAAACCAGACAGAAGTCTATTTGATCAGCCACGCTAGAGCCAGGGAGGAAAAGAGAGAAAAGGAAGACACTGGAACAGATACAAGAGAACTTTGTGAGGAGGAACTGGCAGACCTCAATGAAAGATTCCATGCGGCAGAAAAGGTGGAGACAGGTATCTCTATTAGATGATGCTGTGAACCAAACTGCAGAGGAAACATTACGGAAGGTAGTTTTCTAGAGAACAATGAATTGAGTTTCTGCATTAATATAACCATTTGGGGAGTCTTCATGAAGACAATAGTTGTATGATTGATATTTTAATAACTATGAAAAACAAGTTAGAGGAAATGTATAAAATATATACATTTATGTCAATGGTAAGGACTGTCAGGTAGATTGGAAAAGATTAAGATATTCTTAGGTTAAGTATTAACTCCGGGAAAACAAGAGTTAATAAAAAATAAAATGTAATGCATTAGTGATTTGTGAATAATATTTATATAATCATATGCAAAATATATTTATTGTCATAATTTTTAAACACTTAATTATGAGTTATTCAGTAATTGTTATGTAACTGTATTGGGAAGACGGGAGGAAAGAGTGTGGAGGGATTGCATAGGACAACTAAATTTTTATTTTCCATAACAGGAATCTGAAGAGAGTATCTACAGATGAAACCAATGAATAAATAGCAATATAAGAATGTTATTTATAAATGACTAAATACCTAAAAGGCCTGAAATTGAATGCACATTGAAGTAGGAAAAAGGAATAAGACAAGAAACTAATGGATTTTAAAAATATTTATTATAAAATATGTAAAATAAGTTGACTTTTAAAACTTGTTAGTAATGAAATAGCAAGCAGATTAAAGGTAAAATGCTATATTTACTTGTATGCATACATATACGTTAACGTGTTTTAAAGCACAGTTAGGAACATAAATCATAAGTGCCAGCTCAATCAATTATCATAAAATAAACACACCCATGTAACCATCACCTAAATTAAATGGAACATAATTAGCACCCAGAAATTCCATCTTAAGCTCTCTATATCATTGGTCCTTCCCTCCTATGCAAAAGTAACCACTATTCTCACTACCGTTATCATAGATTAGTATTGCCTTTTTAAAACTCAATTCAAGTTGAATAACACAGTATGTATTCCCTGCATCTAAATTCTTTCACTTAAAATTGTGTTTGGAAAATTCATCCATGCTGTTGCATGTAGCTGCAGTCATTAATTTTTAATGCTATACAGTATTTTCCTATATACAAATACCACAATCATTGGTTTACTCATCTATTCTACTGTTGATGTATACTTAGTGCTTACAGTTTAGAGCTATTAAGGTTGCTGTGAATACCTTTGTATATGAATTATGGTGCATATATGTACACATTTCTGTTGAGTAGCTAGATCATATGGGATAATATATTTTCAATTTTAATAGATAACATTTAAACCATTTTCTAAAGGGATTATACCAATTTATATGCCCACCAGAAATGCGGGAGGGTTACCATTCCTCCACATCTTACCAACACTTGATATTGTCAGTCTTAATCTTGTAAGTCTGGTATGTGTGAAGCAGTATCTCACTGAGGCTTTTTAATTGGTATTCCTTGATTTCTGATGAAGTTGAATATTCAGATATCCTCTTGTGTGAAATGTCCGTTTATGTATTTTGCCTTTTTATCTATTGAGGTTCTCTCTTTTTCTATTGAGGTTGTCTGTCTTTTTCTTATATACCTTCTCTATTAAAGTCAAAGATATTTTGACTATATGTTATCTTAAATTTTTGTCTTTTACTTTTACATATAAAATTAACCTGGAATTGATTTTATTTTTTGGTATGGGATGAGGTAGGTATCAATGCTACCTAAATTAATTTGTAAAATTAATGAATCCCAGTTAAAAAAACACAAGTCAATAAGACTTTGTGAAACTATATAAGCTGATTTAAAAATCCATTTTAAATGAACAAGTGATAATACCCAAGAAATTCTGAAATTTTTAAATAATTGTAGGTTGGCTCATTAGTTATGCAGAATGTGCACTGGACAGTTTTGGAGGGTGAAGGAAAGGGAGGTATCATTAAACATATAATAAAATGGTCCTGAGAATGAGCTATGTACAACATACATAATTGCACAGAAAAGCTCGAAAACCTATAAAACCTATTATAAGGCTATATTGATTAAAACTGTGTTACTGGTTTATCAGTAGGTTGATTGGGTAATGAAAAGAGTGAAGGTCACCAAAATAAACCAAAATTTATATAAAAATCTAATATATGAAAGGGGGACATTTCAAATCAGTGGTAAAAAGACCAATTATTATTAAATAATGTTTAGGAAACTTAACAGAATCTCTGCCTTGTAATTGTACCTTACAACAAAACAAACTTTAGATGGAACAAAATAGAAATTTAAAATAATCAGTGTGGATCATTGGTCTGTACATGAGTAAACCTCAAAAGGGAAAAGACCGATTAATTCAACTACAAAAATACACAATCTTCACAAAGTGAAAACTAAAAAAAAAAAAAAAAAACAAAAGCTAACACAGTTATAATTACTATAACAATTAAAGGCTATTTCCTTAAGTAAAGACCTCCTTGGAAAACAAAACCACCCAATAGAAAAGCAGACAAAACGTAGAAAGAGGTAACTAAGCAGACACCTTATAAATATTTTTTTAAACCCTGATGGTCTTAAAATGTATGAAAAGATTCACACAACCTTACTCATAATAAAAAAAAAATGCATCATATTTTATCATCTTGGATTTCCAAAGATGCAAAAAAAGAGAAGCTGGATTATTTGGTGTGGGGAAACAAGCACCCTCACATACCAATGGTGGGAATGTAAACCAGTGACAAATCTTTAGAGGTGCATTTATTGCCATAATCCTTGACCTTGCAATTCTATGACTCTTTACCAAGATATTAACTAAACTACTGTTCCCTATAGCAAAATATTAGAATCACCCCAAACGTCCAGTGGTAGGAGACTAGCCAATCAAATTATGATACAATGGAATATTATGTACTTGAAAAAAGAGAAGTGGAGAAGGAGAACAAGAAGAAGAGAGTTTTATTTGAATTTATATGCAGTGATCTCAAGTAAATTAAATAAAAAATTAAAAATATATAGTATGCTGCCACTTGTGAGAGAAATAAAAGGAGTAATACACATATCTTCTAGAAAAATATTGAAGAATCTTATAACAGGATTTGCATATTTGAAGGGGAACCAAGTTGCCAAGTGAGAAAAGGAAGCTCATTTTTTTTACTGTACTCTTTTAGAACTTTTGAATTTTTACCAGGAGCAGATACTACCTATTAAAAAGATGAATGAAATACTTAATAAAAATTAAAAAGATCGGGAGGCTGAGGCAGGAGAGTCACTTGAATCTGGCAGGCAGAGGTTACACTGAGCCGAGATCATGCCACTGCACTTCAGCCTGGGGGACAGAGCAAGACTGCTTCAAAAAAAAAAATTAAAAAGAAAAATATAATGAGGGATGACAGTGAAACTCAACTGATTATGGCTACTATTTATTGAACATGAATTCACACTAAATTCTTCATGTGCAACCGATGTTTGCATTTTTCCCCAAAACTATTTGGTAGTTATTGCTATCCCCATTTCACAGTTGAAGAAACTGAGGATCAAAGAGAAAGTAACTTACTATGGTCATGTATTAGTTAATAACAGAGGCATATTTCTTACCTGGGTGTGTATGTTTCAAACCATGTGCATTTTGTACTGTGCTTCCTCTTGCTATGACAAGTTTATCTCACATAAATGGAGATTCTCTTTAAAGCTAACTTGTTAATACCACATCCCACTGGCCAACTGCTAATCCATCTGTCATTTCACTTGCCCTCTGCATTCCCTCTCCATCCTTTCATACTCACACAAACTTGTGTACATACAAAAATGACTGTTTGGAAAGCAACCACCTACCGTGAAGTGACCCAGAACTTTGCACCGTTCCATGGATAATTGTAGGAAACCAACAAATAGTTTTCTTGTTCAAGACATATGTAAGTAATTGGTCAAAGTTAAGTGGCATCCATCCTATTCTGCATAGCTGGACTGTTCTTGCAACCCTCAACCCTTGCATTCCTCTGCAAAGTGTTTTGTTTATACAGGCAAAATTCTAAGCACATGGATATATCCTAGGCTGTCTTCATGATCAGAATCCAAATGTTCAAAAGACAAGCAGCAGGACACAGTTAATAGAGAAAAATGGAATTGCTGGTTAATCAGTGGAAAAGTAAAATAGCATTCCTTGTCATCAGGACGGAAGAGTGATTGAGTGCACAGCCTTTGGAGTCAAATATACCTGGGTGGATTCCCAGCTCTTTAATGGACCTGCTGTGTAGTCTTGGGTAAGTTTCCTAACCTCTTTTGCTTCCATTTTCTAGATGAGAAAATGGGAATGATAATACTGCCTATCTCACAGGCAGGATTGTTGTGAAGGTTAAAAAACAAAGAAGTGGAAGAAAAGCATTATCCTCAGTGCTGGGTGCATGGTAAGAATTCAGTGAATGATAACTATTGTTTTAGGTAATATTAGGCTACGTTGCAGGCCAAACCCTCAATTAGTTTTACAGTTCATATTTCAAATGAGACACTTTTTTGTGTCTTCTACAACTTGTTCCCTGGGTATCTGGTCTCCTTGACTCTACTCCCTCACCACATCTATCAGGGTGTCTGCAGATCTTTACATACTGTTCCCTTTACCTGCTACACTTTCATCCAGATCGTTCATGGAGGACTTCTTTCCAACAATGAGGTCTCTACATGAATGTCGTCTGCTCAGAGAAGCTTGCCGCAACCAAAATTTCATCCTTTCTTCTATCTCGAGCCTAAAATGGTGCTAAAGAAATATTTGCCCTTCAAAATACTGTGCTACACTGCAAAATGTCATGAAACATTAAAATATAGCCTGCCAAACATTTTTATTGTATGCTAAGTGACTGCCATCTTCAGATATTTTTCTCTCATCATCATAAAGCCAGTGGTTTCCTATCATTTTCTTGATAATGCAATTTAAAGCAAAGAGTTGACTGATTTTTCCTATTATATTTTAAGGAATGGGGATACATTTGAAGTACGTGAAAGAAAATTGTTCTCATTTTAATTTTTCCTAAGTTTTTCATCACACACAAGGAAGAAAATCTCAAATTAGAGCTAATATTTCTTTAACCTCTCTCTAACACTTCATAATATCCCCTTTTAAAATAAAGAACAAGTAGACAAAAAGCCCACAGTCAGGCAGGAAACAGTGTTGTATTAATCAGGATAGATTAGGTTTTTCTGTGGGCAAAAGACACATCCAATGTCTCAGAGCCTAAACTGAACAAAAACACATTTCTTATTTACAGTACATGCCCTATATGGGTTTGTATTCAGGATGAAAGCAGGTATGCACCACAGTCACTTAGAGACCAAGGCTGAGGCTCCACCATCTTAGAACTGTGTCATCTGAAACTTGAAGCTTTTTTCTTTTTCACATTTCACATTCTTTTTCACATTCCTCATAGGAAGAGGGTAGAGAGAATTGTGCAATGCAATTAAATTATTTGGACCAGTAGGCCGGGTGCAGTGGTTCATGCCTGTAATCCCAGCACTTTGAGAGGCTGAGGCGGGCGGATCACCTGAGACCCGGAGTTCAGGACCAGCCTGACCAACATGGAGAAACCCCATCTCTACTAAAAATACAAAATTAGCTGGGCATGGTGGTGCATGCCTGTAATCCCAGCTACTCGGGAGGCTGAGGCAGGAGAATCTCTTGAACCCGGGAGGCAGAAGTTGCGGTGAGCTGAGATCGCACCATTGCACTCCAGCCTGGGCAACAAGAGCAAAACTCTGTCTCCAAAAAAAAAAAAAAAAAAATTACTTGGACCAGTAGTGTGAAATGTCATTTCACCTAACAGTCCATTAGACAGAACTAGTTACATGCATCTCCCTAACAAGAATGTGTACTTTTCAATATGTAGTAACATCGACCACAAGTACAGATGGTCCCCAACCTATGATGATTCGATGTCGCTGTGGTGCAAAAGCAATATGCACTGAGTAGAAACTGTACTTCCAATTTTGAATTTTGATCTTTTCTCAGTCTAGGTCACAACCACAAGTGTAAAGAACCTATATGCTATACAGCGTACTGTGTTGCCAGATGAGTTTGCCCAGTTGTAGGATAATGTAAATGTCCCGAGTATGTTTAAGGGAGGCTACGCTAAGCTATGGCGTTTGGTAAGTTAGGTGGATTAAATGCATTCTCTATTTATGATATTTTCTATTTACTATGGGTTGATCAGGATGTAGCCCCATCATAAGTTAAAGAGCAACTGTATCTCACTAAAATCTAATAATATTGTAGTTTTTCATTGTGCATATTTCTATTATTAAGTTATATTTATAGCAAGTAGTTTTCTATTTACATGTTCTTTTCAAATAAAATTATCAAGCTGTAAAAAATGAATCAAGACAAAGAAATGTTAAATAAATAATGATACAAGTGGCTTAGAGATAAGGCAAAAGTTGTGTTGCTATCTAAATCATTAAAATGTGGGGCTCACTGTTCTTGGGTGAGATCACACAACTAGTTTGTGGCAAAAAGGATAAGACTGCAGATCTCTTCGACTCTACATCTGTGCCTTTCCAACATTGCTGTTGCCTTTCTAAGAACTGTGGTACCCAGTAAAGCCTATGCAATAGTCCTAAAGTGCTTCTGAATGCTAACATGAATGAGAGCAATTCCACTTTCTCTAATTATTCTTTTTTCTTTTCTTTTTTTTTTTTTTGAGATGGAGTTTCTCTCTCGTTGCCCGGGCTGGAATGCAGTGGCCCAATCACAGCTCACCACAACCTCCGCCTCCCAGATTCAAGCGATTGTCCTACCTTAGCCTCCTGAGTAACTGGGATTACAGTGATGCGCCACCATGCCTGGCTAATTTTGTATTTTGTATTTATTTTATTTTATTTTATTTTAGTAGAGACGGGGTTTCTCCATGTTGGTCAGGCTGGTCTCGAACTCCTGACCTCAGGTGATCCGCCCACCTCAGCCTTCCGAAGTGCTGGGATTACAGGCACGAGCCATCTCTAATTATTCTTTAACATTTTGTACCTTTGGATGGTGTTTTAGGAAAAAATGAAATGACCCAGCAACTACTTTTTAGTTAGTTATACACAAAAATTATTGGACTTAGAAGAATACGAACAGAAAATTTTTAATTTTAAATATATGCAAGAACAGTAAAAAAAATGCCACCAATTTACCCATTTAAATAACAGTTGACACTAAATTAGTGATACTAATGGGGAGATGCTTTTTCATAAAGACTATTTTTCTCTGTAAAGACATTTGGAAGTAAACAATCTAAATCTTTAGGTTTTAGTCAGTGTGTTTTGCTCTGAAGAGGTTTACAAAGCCATGGGGCCAATTGAATCTTCCTACTCCTACTATCCTAATATATTCACTTATTGAAAATTGTCCATTGAGATTTCCCACTTATCCTTCTGTTACTGCCTTTTTATTCTGTCAAATTGAAGACCTTAGTCCTTAATTTCATCTTTAGAAAGTGAATGTTGATGAAAGAACTGGTCCTTGATAAAAACAAAGCAAAGCAGAACAAAACAAAAATGAAAGCTGTATTCTTCTCTCTCCACCTATGGCACCTTCTCCCAGCCCATGAAGACAGATTGTTCAGATAGCTGCCACCATCCTCAGCTTCTTACAGCCCAGTCTTACCCGCTCAGGGAGGGCCTCAAATATGTCCCCTTACATCCATTTTCATCCTCTTTTGGCCTCTTAAAAATACGTTTCCTCCCATAACTATCACGGAGAAAAGGATCAGATTCACTACTGCTGATTGAAATCACTTAATATGTCATCCCTCGTAAAATAATATATTATTGTTTTAAAGGAAGCGCATATGATTATCACAGACCAGGATGACTTCAACGGTGGAGGTAAGGACATATTTTCTGACAAGGTCATGACACTAGCTGGCCTCCTGCTAGACTCGTAAATGTTGCTTCTTTGGGAGGTCTCTGATTCTTTTTTTCTCCTGATTTCTTTAACCTGATTTAAAGATACTGCTTCCTACAAGAAATGCTTGGAAGGAGCTAAAACTTTTTATCCTGCAGGGAAATAATGGAGAGAAAGTATTGAAAGTGAGCTTTGCCTTCTGAGATGTCAAAATAGGGCAGAATTTTTACATAAGATGCTTTTAACACTTCTTTCTTGCTTACAGGAGCTCAGTACTATTTAGTTGGTTATTTCTGTTCATCACTATTAGTTCATCACCATTTCTGATAAGTAGTTAGAGCTCCAAACAGGAACGAAATTGCTATGAATCAACATGTGGGAAATGGATAATACACTCTACTTTTATAATATGGACAATACGTTTGTTGCCATTAAGACATATTTTGTTTCATTTGTGACACATGAAAACAAGCTGAAGTTGAGTTTGGCTTTTGTGGCATAGAGCCAATCTGAGCACATTTGGAGGTAATCTAACCCCTGAACTTATCACAGAAGTCTTTGACCCGACCTCCTTTGTTGGATACCAGGATTTTACCCCACTCTGCTCATAACCCACTCCTCATTGTAGTGGCCTAGAAAGAAGAAACTTGGGTTTGGACTCCAAATCAGCTATGTGATCTTGCACCTTAGACAAAACCACCATCCCTCTTTTGAGATCTCACTGTGTTACCTGCATAGTGAGCAGGTTGGGCTCAGCCCTCCCTCACAGTGCATGATTAGAAGGCTCCTGTCACTCTCACACACAAGATTTCTTTTTGTTCTCTTTATGTAATTTACTCTTTGCTTAACTAATTTAAAAGAATTTGTTTGTTTTTGTAAAGTTTGTCTTATTAAAAAGCCACACATTCTTTTAGATAATGTAAAAATGCAGACAAACAACAAGAATAAAGCAAATGAAATTCATGCATAATCTTGCCAACCAGTAAAATGTTACATGATATAGCTTCCAGATATTTGTAACTTGCTTCTTCAGTTAATAACATATAGAGATTATCTGCTCATGTACTTAAACAGGCAGACAGCATAGTTTACTTTGCTGAGTCTCTTTCACTGACTACTTTGTAGATAACAATTATTTTATTATTATCAATGTTTTAATCAACATCCATGTTCGCAAATCTTAGTATGTAATGCTAACAAATTTTTAGGTTAAATTCCTAAACTGAGAATCTCTTTTTCATGGGTTATGCTCATAAAAAGAAGTATGTTTTTAATAAAACAAGAGTAATTCATTCTTATTGAAAATATCAAATAGTCAAAAATGTGTAATATAAAAAATTACCCACTGCGCTCCCTAGAGGTAACCCTGAATACTAGTTTGGTATATGTCCTTTTAGATAATTTATCTATTTATTCATTATTTAATAAAATGTATAGAATAGACACAATGTGCCATAGTAGTCACTGGAGAAACAGCATTGATCAAAGTAGATACAGTTAGTTCATTCATGGAGCCTAAGACATTAGCAATAGAGTTCTTAAATAATACACTAATACCTATGTATACAATTACAGATTGCAATAGGTGCATTGAATGTGTGGCAAATTGTTTGATGAGAGACACAACAGGACTAGTTAATTTACACTAATAGGTGAGAGAAAGTGAGAAGATATCAAGGAATGTTTCACTGAAAGACTAACATGTACATTAAAATCTGAAGAATAAACTAAATTAGCCAAGTGAGAATATAGGGGATGACTGGAGGAGTGGGATTCTGGATTGGAGGAAGATAGGAGTGCTCCAAGTTCACACATATGCTGTGCACAGTCCTTGGAAGTGAAATTGAATTTGGTGACTGAAAGTAATCCGGTAAATCTGAGAAAGGCAAGTAGGGAAAGACTAAACAGGTAGGCAAGAACTAGGTCATGGGGTGCCCTGGAGGCCATGTCGACCTGATGATATTCATTTGAAGAACAATAGGGAGCTATTGGAGGCTTTCTCCACTAACTAGGTATGTATGTCCAGTTTAGGCAGTTCTATGCCAGATATAGTCTGTTGGTAACCAGCACCATTTCCCTATTCCACTGTATCTTAGGGGCCCTGATGAGCCAAATCTTCACCCCCGACACTCTCTTGCTACCTGGTTTCCAGTGAGGTACCATGGAAAGCAGTTGAGGGAGGTAAGAAGGCAGGAGGAGGGGTGACTTTATCAGTAATAGTGACAGGTAAGTGAAGGCAATCAGTGGTTCCAGCAACCGCAATAAGGGCAACATCCAGGCAGCAGCAACAGCAGCCACACTCCTGTAACTCCGTGGGGAGTGGGGCCCTTAGTTATTTCCTGGTCTCTCCTTTACATCTTTTTCTTCCTTTTGTTCTCCTAGCCCTTCCAATGCCCTTGAATGCAACCCTCTGCATTAAATCCTTCTTCTCTGCTTAAAATATTTAGAGTGGTTTCTGTTCTCCTTTCTAGATATTGATTATTGAATGCTTTTGATTTAGACAAAAGCTTTAGTTTCTTCCTGACCATTTTTTTTGCATACACCCCCAAAATGTCTTTATGAATCAGTGTGCTTTAATTCTCGGTAACACTTGGCTACTTGGCTACAGTTTCATTGTGAGTCTTGCAGAGTCATCAGTAAAATTAATAACTGAAGCATTTAAAGCAAAATAATTCTTCAAGAATTCTCTAAGACAATTAAAGAACTGTAATGTTTTAGGATTACAGGTCCTTCTGGAGCAGTTCTAATTTTGTATGTGCTATCTATGTTATCCCTCTACCCCTGACATTAACAAATTATGTACCTGGCCTGAAATTATTGGCCCTTATATATGTTAGTTTTCCAGTGATACAGGTGGTATGGATATTTGTTGTTTTTGATGTCCATAACTTATTCCCACTTATTTGTGAGGAGCCTCTCTATACGACTGTATAGGAACTAGTCTTTCCTGCCCCACACCTTCAGGTGGGATTAATGGTGCTCTTGATGGTGCTGGGATCTCAAGCAGGGCTAATTTCTTACTCTATTTCTAAAATTTAAATCTGGACACAGAGGGACCAAAAAAAAAAAGACTGAAAATGATGACAATTGATGCATCTTGATGATAGCAGCCCAAGGCTACCTATTGGTTCTTGCTCTTGCCTATCCACTGGTTCTGGGTTGTGTATGAGGCCTGGTTTTCCAGATTTCCCTTTGATTGTGTAAGCTGTTCCACATCCACCTGATAATTTGCTTCTCTCCTTGAGCTGAATAGAATTAAATTCTTTCTGTCAAAAGAACCATATAAACAGAGTGGGATTGTATTTTTTTTTCTTTGTCATTCGTGGTAAAATATACATAACAAAGATTTTTATCATCTTAAAATTTTAAATGCACAGTTCAATAGTAGTAAGTACATTCACACTGTTGTGTAGCCAATCTCCAGAACTCTTTTCATCTTGCAAAATTGAAATTCTATACTCATTTACAACTTCCCATTCCCCACCTCCCCAAGCCCCTGGCAACCACCATTCTACTTTCCTATGAATTGACTGCTCTAGGTGCCTCATAAGTGCAATCACACATTATTTGTTGTTTTGTTTTGTCTTGTTTCTTGAGACAAAGTCTCGCTCTGTCACCTAGGCTGGAGTGAAGTGGCACAATCTCGGATCACTGCAACCTCTGCCTCTTGTGTTCACGTGAGTCTCTTGCCTCAGCCTTCTGAGGAGCTGGGATTACAGGTGTGTGCCACCACGCCTGGCTAATTTTTGTATTTTTAGTAGAGACAGAGTTTCGCCATGTTGGTCATGCTGGTCTTGAACTCCTGACCTCAAGTGATCCACCTGCCTCGGCCTCTCAAAGTGCTGGGATTACAGACGTGAGCCACCACGCCCAGTGGCATTATTTGTTTTTTTGTGACTGGCTTACTTCACTTAGCATGATGTTCTCAAGGTTTATCCATGTTACATCATGTGTCTGAATTTCCCTTATTTTTGAAGCTGAATAACATCCCATTGCATGTATATACCACATTTTGTTTACCCATTTATCCGTTGATGCACACTTGGGTTGCTTCCACCTCTTCACTACTGTGAATAATGCTGCTATGAACATGAGTGTACAAATATCTCTTAGAGACCCTGCTAATTCTTTTGAGAGTATACCCATAAGTGAAATCACGACTTTTTGAAAAACCACTATACTATTCCCTATAGTGGCTGCACAATTTTATATGCCCATCAACAATCCAAAGGGTTCCAATTTTTCCACACTCTCACCAGTGATTTTTTAAAAATATTAGCCTATATTCTAATGGATGTGAAGTAGTTCTCTTCTTTTTTGAAATACATGTTGCACCAAGGACAGCCTCTTGTATCGACAAATGGTTATGCGGAATATAAGGAACAATTCAATACTAACCCAGTTCTCTTGTGGAATAGCTGTCCAGTTCACTAAAGTCTCTTCAGGGCTCCTGGACCCAATTTGTTTGGTAAGTTTCCTCCGTTCTTCCCACTTCTCTCTGTATTCCTTCCATTCATTAAGTTTCTTTAAGCCTGGAGAGAATGAAATGAGAATACTTCTGAGCTGCATTTGCTTTCTCTCATGATGAGTCTGCTAATCATTTCAGAAAGGGCTTAAGTCTTTCCGTGTTAATACATTCAAAATGTAGGTTTTGGATAATATTTTTTTTTTTTTTACAAAAAGAATAACTAAAGAGGAAACTTAAGCCACCTGCTAGGAATTTGCAAACAAGGTAACTAAGGCTCTTATTAAGGAAACATTTAGAATCTTTCAAAAGCACTAGTATTGTTGGTTCTGACTTGAGATAACCTGAATTTAAAAAGCCTGGCAACCAGTCCTTAGCGCTCACCTTTCAAAACCTTCACAGCCAAGAGTCAGATGCCTAAATGTCTCCTCGGCATATTTGCATCCTGACAGCCTCACTGTGGGGATTAGAGGGGTGCACATTTCCTCAGTTTTGGAATATTCCATTTTGGCTTTTGTGTGTGTGTGTGTGTGACAGAGTCTCACTCTGTCGCCCAGGCTGGAGTGCAGTGGCGCCATCTTGGCTCACTGCAAGCTCCGCCTCCTGGGTTCACGCCATTCTCCTGCCTCAGCCTCCCGAGTAGCTGGGACTACAGGTGCCCGCCACCACGCCCGGCTAATTTTTTTGCATTTTTAGTAGAGACGGGGTTTCACCGTGTTAGCCAGGATGGTCGATCTCCTGACCTCGTGATCTGCCCGCCTCGGCCTCCCAAAGTGCTGGGATTACACCGCGTCCGGCCCCATTTTGGCTTTTCTTCAGCTGTGCCTGAACCAGGAGGTCTGAGACTCTCAGCTAAGTGTGGGCTAAGGAGTCAGCCCTCCTGGATTCCCAGGCAGTCAGCTGGGCTCCTCTGAGTAAGGTTCTTAAATTTTCTGAGCTCCAGTTTTCCTTATCCATAAAACAGGAATAAGACTGCCGGCTTGTAGGCCTATTGTGAAGGTTAGTTACGGTAATGAATATACCCATTTCCAGCGTGCTATCAACATAACAGGCAGTTTAAAAATGAATAATAATTTTCTTTATTCTTTACGGAAATTAATATTGGTAGATGGTCATTATCTAAAAATAAAATTATGAATGTGTTTTCTTACCTTTTCTTGAATTTTTTTGAGAGTCCTCAAAAATTATACTGAAAAAAAAAAGTTCAACAAATCTATTATACATCATGGTGACTACAATTAATAACAATATATTGATTACTTGAAAATTGTTAAGAGGATAGAGTATATGTGCTCTCCTCACACACACACACAAAGAAAGGTAATGTATATGTTAATTAGCTTGTTTAGCCATTCCATAATGCATACATATATCAAAATATCCTGTTATATACCACAAATATGTGCAATTTTTATTTGCCAATTCAAAAAACAGGGCCGGGAGCGGTGGCTCATGCCTGTAATCCCAGCACTTTGGGAGGCCGAGGCGGGTGGATCACTGGAGGCCAGGAGTTAGAGACCAGCCTGGACAACATAGTGAAAAACCATCTCTACTAAAAATACAAAAAAAATTAGCCGGCCATGATGGCGCGTGCCTGTAATCCCAGCTACTCTGGAGGCTGAGGTGAGAGAATCCCTTATACCTGAGAGGCAGAGGTTGCAGTGAGCTGAGATTGCACCACTGCAATCCAGCCTGGGGGACAGAGGGGAGATACTGTCTCAAAAAAAAAAAAAGGAAGAAAAATAAATAAATAAATAAATAAATAAATAAACAATAATTCTGGGCATCTTATGTTTTAAAGAAGTTTGGCTTGTGTTATTTTTTTAAACCTACATATTTTTTCAAGAAATACCTAACTTTTCCCTAAACTTCCATATCCAGTTTTTTTTTAAGTTTAGATTTCTGTTGTATTATAAATTTTTCCTCATAACTCTGTATACACACACACATTTTCTATTCCTTTGTTACCACAAAAATTATAAAATGTTTTGTATTTATAGAAGTATTATCAAATATTTTCAAAAAGTTATTTTGATTGTTGACATTCACAGAAACCCAATGAATTAGTAGGTGCAGCAGTTATTATTACTGTTGTTTCACAGATGGAATGGGAGATATATGACTTTCCCAAGACCTTGAAGCCAGTAAAGTGGTGGAGCCAGAACTCAGACCCTGGCCTTCAGTTTCCAAGTCCAAGATTGTCTCCACCATATCTCACTGTCCCTCTCCAGGGCCATGTAGTGAAGGGCTACTGGCTAAATAAATGGAGGAAACAAGCAGAAATGTAAGGTTGAATGCCTTTTTGGAAATCGGAGGAACCAAGTATTAGCAAACAACTGAAAAGTTATGCTCAAAGCCTAACAAGAAGCCAGTTGCATTGGGAATACTTGAACTGCTTCAGAATTTGTATATATATTTAAGACAAGGTCTCGCCCTGTCACCCAGGCTGAAGTGCAGTGGTACATTCCTGTAGCTTCCATCTCCCAGCCTCAAGTGATCCTCCCACCTTTCAGCCTCTCTCAAGTAGCAGGGACTACAGGCCTGCACCACCACTCCTGGCTAATTTTTGTATTTTTTATAGAGATAGGGCTTGGCCATGTTGCCCAGGCTAGTCTGGAACTTCTGGGCTCAAGTGATCCTCCTGGCTCAGCTCCCCACAGTGCTGGGATTACAGGCATGAGCCACCACACCCAGCCTGGTACATTCTTTAAAACAATGAAAAATGCCCTGCATATTCCAGATTTCTCTTTTCTCAAATATGCCATTCTTATGTCGTAAATACTAAATTCTTATTTGCCTTAGTTAATGGATTTATAGCTTAAATATATTTTCTGAATACTTCCTGTGCGTACTTTCTGTAAAAAAAATTAATAAACATACCCTATATTTTTAATTCTTATTCTACCCACATTTAGAAAGGATGCAGGGAGATTCTCTATGTATCTGATATTGTGGCTAAGAATGAATAAACAAATGAAAAAATCGGTCTGAATCTATTTCTACATGTCATACTAATTTATTCAGGCCTTGTTAAATCTCTACGATCAGCCAAAATTAGAATAAGTCTACTCTAAAACAACTTGGCATTATGCTTAAAGAGCAAAAAAAATAAATAACTGCTCCCCCAGCAGAGAATTTATCTTATGGAAGTACTACTACTCACATTCCAACTCTGTATGTACATATATGAACACACAGAAACAATTATATGCTTGAAAATTAAAATATAATTGCTGACTAGCAAATAGCAGAAAAATCTTCAACAAAATTAAAGTGGTGGAGGAAATTATAGTAGATCAAATGATGGAATATTGGGAAACTGCTACATTATTATTTTGAAGAATTTGTAGCACTATGCAGTGTAATTTTTTTTTCTTTTGACACAAGCAAAGAAAGAAAAAATAAATCTTGTTTACACGCAGTTATAACAATGAAAAAAGGATATTTTGCATGTGGACAAAAAATTAAAAGGAGCATAGAAAAGTCAAAGGTTTCCCCCCTTTGTGAATCAGTTAACACTACTCGTATAATGAAAAACAAAAATAAGAAACTGAGTTCCTTTTGGCATACAATCCGTAGAAAACCTGTAAGTCGCTCTTTGTCCTAATTTAAGTGGATGCTGTGAACGTGAAGTGATACCAGGACTGGGTTGTGGTGCACTTGAGCCCTGACTGCACCACATGGGGAAAGTACAGAACAATAAGCGAGACTCATTGTTGCCCAAGAACTATCATTTATGCTATCTCAAAACAAAACAAACATACTCTACATTCCACATATCTGTAGGGCATCAAGATCTCAGCATCATATCTTTAAATCATTGGATCCCAAAGGGAAAGTAAAATTGCATGAAGGAAAAATACCACACAGTGGGGAAAAATACTCCTTTTTGTAAGTCTTTATTTTTTAGTTGCTCCTCCCATAGTAATGCACTGAAAGGCATAACAGTTTATATTGTACAAAGCATTTGAAGAAAGTACCTCAACTTGCTGATTATTTCAAAATGAGATTACAAACAAAAAGAAAACAAATCTGGTTCCTCAATAAAGGGCAAAATAACTGAATACAGTCTGTTATTTACTTCTCTCTTTTAACATAAGGTTGGGAACACTTCATTTTACAAATAGGATTAACATGAACATAACATCGCACAAGCTTGCAGACAACCAGCATAAAATATGGAGTACAGTTTTTAATCAGAAGAATCATGCTTCCATGAAAGAAATTATAATCGTTTATACAATTGAATCGATTTCAGTATTACAAAAACTAAGTTGCATCTATTCGTATTTAGTTCATTAAGAAGGAAAACAAAACAAACAAACAAAAAGGAATGTTAAGAAAAGCCAAACACCATTTGGCACTCTCATACACAGGTCGGGTCACCTTGGTCCTTGAAATTCGGAAAGGGGTGTGCCTCAGACGTCATAAAGTAGTGGCTGACTGGAACAGTGCTATTTTAATCAACAAACAATAGTTTGCCAACAAATAAATACATGATACACGCAACACACACAAAAAAATAAACATTAAAAACAGTGACATGATTGTCTAAAATTAAGATGTTATTACAAGGATTTGGCAAACAATTTATTAGTGGTACAGCGGTACTGGTGATGAATAGGTTACTTCACTGACTTAACCTCTTTGAGTGTTAACATCCATAGTTTACAATATACACATACCCTTTTTCCCTAGTTTTAAACAATGTACTTAAGAAGGCAAAAGGGGGAACAAGTACTCCCTGTTATCAGTTTCTATAATAATTGACTGTGCATTTCATCCAACTACTTCTGTCTTCAAAGGGTTAAATTACATAAAACTTTAACGAAGAAAAAAATTAAATCTGTAATTAAAAGCAACTGTTCCCAATCATGTCAGGTGATCTTGTACAAAAGAGAATTCAGTTTCTATGGAGTGTTCATTCATATCAATGCTGCCATCTCAACTGCCCTTCTCACCCACCCATACCCTAAGGTGGGGTAAACTGGAAGATGCCTTCAGCCCACCAAGTTTTTTGTTTTCACTGAATCACTTTAAGTCGCATTGATTGATCTTCCAGAAGTCAGCAGCTGCCTTTGCTGTGCAAAACAAAATATCGAGAATAAATAGTTTCTTTTTTCTTTCTTTTCTTTTTTAAATCATTCAGTTTAAGGTCACTAGACTTTAGATGAGTGACCCTGCAGGTTTATAAGGCATTCTGCTCAGCAGTCTTGTAAATAGTCCTATATGAAAGAGCCATGCTACTGTTGGACTTGGTCCCACTCTGGTCAACCTTGATAACGTCATACGTGGCTTATGGACTGGATAGCACTGGATTCCGCCGCAGCCCTGGCCATACTGTGCCACACGTTGGAAGAACTGTGGGATGTAGAATGGAGGGACTCCTTGTCAGACAGTGACAGCATCATAGCATATGCCTGGGGTAAAAAGGAGAGAGACTCAGTAAATGGCATTTGAAAAACATCACTTTTAGTTCAAAGAATATTGTTGGTAAATGGAAAGGGATGGGACCCTGAGTAGGGGCATCCTTCATGGGTGTGTTTGGCAAAGAAGGCATATTTTTTGTAGAAACCACATGGGATTACTGCTGGCCTTTAGTGCCTAGGGGCCCCAAAAGTGACACACGCTACAGAACCAAAAAGAACTATCCTACCTAAAATGCAAATAGTGCTTCCATTGAGAAAAATGAGTCAGTCTCCTGTTCAACTATAAATACAGTCATCCATCCACTACATATGTTCAATTCACCAAAAATATTATTGTGTGCTTATGACTGAAACCTCAAATATTAATAAGATATAGACCTACCTTGACAGAGCTGTGGCCTAGTAGAGGATACAGCCTGACTCCTACACTTTATAACCGAAAGCACTGAAGGTGCTTGAGTGACTTGCCCAAAGTCACTCAATTAGATAGATAGTGGGAGAAGCATAACTAAAATGTATTTCTGCCCAACTTTTAATCCATTGTCTTTTCTCCAATTTCCCTCCATGCTTGACATACTCAGTCCTGGCACCCATAAGTTGAGGTGGATCAAATCAGCTCTACCAAAAAAATAAAACCAAACACAAGACCCAACAGTGTTCTAATCAACTTGTTTTCCAGTGTCTGCTGAGCAGAAGGTGCATGGAGGTGCTCTGTGAGGAAGTACTCTTTCTTCCCTATTATCATGTCAAATTTTAAATAACTGTTCAGAGAGTCCCCTATTTACTGCCAAGCAAAATATTCAAATGAAATGTTTGGTCTTGACTTGTAAGTGAACTTTTCACTGTTGATTTGCTATTGTTGGTCTCATCCATTGCTAAACTTGCTTGTCAAAATGCTGCTGAAGTGGAATCATTAAAGTCCTGCCAAAGACATTCCACTGTCTGTAAACAAAGACAAAATGCCTCTGTTGTTAGGCAGAATTTCATCTCTGGGAGTCATGCTGAGACATGTGGCCAGTCTGTGGTTTCTTCCGTAATCATTGCATTTAGTTAGAAAATTTACCCTTGTAGGCTGATTTTTGATTTGCTGGGTCATCGCTCTAAATGTACACATTTGACTTTTATGTATGCAATTTGCCTTTTGGACTTCTACAATATCTCATGATCCATTTAACAAATATTTCTTAAGCATCTACTCTATGCCAGGCTCTGTGATAGATCCTAAGAAATTAAGAATAAATAATATAGAGTACTTATCTTTGGCAGAGTTTAAAGTATGGGTTAAGTGAGCATTCAACCTAAATTATCTATTCTGATTATGTACCTACTTTTAGAGAACAAGATAAAGAGTACTCTGAAAGAGTTAAAACAAATTCTGATATTTGGGAAGATAAAAAGGAGTACAAAGAAAATTTTGGAATTTAAATTTTAATCCTGCCTTTAAACCTGCCTCTACTCACCTAGCTGTGTGATCTTGAGCAAGTTGCTTAACCTTTTAAGCTTTACTTTCCTCCTATAAAACAGATGATAGTAATAACAGTATTGGCCTCCAAGAGTTGTGGAGGAATCACATGCACTAACTTACATAAAGTGTTTAGCTCAGTGTGCCTGACTGAGGTAATACATAAATAGTACCTATTACCATGAAATTAATTTTTACCGGATAGAGTTTCTTGAGGGAGAGCACATGCAAAATGCAGCTACTATTGTACTGGTCAACTATTTTCAATTCAATCACTATAAAAATTACAGACTATAAAAATTACAGAATAAATATATGAATGCTTTGACTAAAGCATCTGAGCCTTTAGATTCTAGAAAATGGCAAAACAGCATATCTGCCTTTTGGTAATCAAAGGAAATAAACATTTTCATATATAAGGATCAGTGCCCAGCATATAGCTGGTAGTTAATAAATGAACGAATGAATGATATTATGAAATAAAGTGAATTTGCAAAAGGGCCTGACCATTTTCAAACTAATCTATATAACATGATCAAGTAACAAGAAAAATATGACTTAGGATTGCAAAATGCTAGTGTTTCTTATAACAGTAACAGTCCAGCTGGGTTGGGACTTTATGTCAAAATGCTGGTACTAAAATGTATTATAATTATATCCCTTATCTGTAGGTTTTCAGGCCCTTTTGCTTTCTGTCACTTCTGGCAGTTTCTGGAGTGTTTAGGTATTATATCTTACAATAAATAAGAAGCATTTTTGGTGGACTAATTAAAAGAAATTTAAAAAGAAAAAACCATGGCCAGGTGCAATGGGTCACACCTATACAAATCCCAGTAATTTGGGAGGCTGAGGTGGGAGGATTGCTTGAGCTCAGGAATTTGAGACCAGCCTGGGCAACATAGTGAAACCCCATCTCTACACAAAATTGAAAAATTAGCCTGGCATAGTGGTGAGTGTCAATAGTCCCGGTTATCCAGATGCCTGAGGTGGGAGGATCACTTGAGCCCAGCAAGTCGAGGCTATAGTGAGCCGTGATTGCACCACTGCACTCCAGTCTTAGCAGCTGAGTGAGACCCTGTCTCAAAAACAAAGAAACAAGTAACAAAAAACCAAAAACCTTGATACTCAAGTTATCTCTAATCAACAAGGATGGAAGAATGGGAAATCAAGGGTTAAAAAAAAATACTAGCCACCCCTTATGGATGTCTCTAAGTAAAAATGAAATGTCTACTCTAGCTAGTTTACCTTTAATGTTAAAAACTGGAAACTTCATTTTTATCCCCATTGAATAAAAATCCACTTACCCCTTTTACAATGAAGAAATGGTACCTATAGTCTTTAAGTGATGTTCTTAAGTTCATGGAGGTAGGCTCTAGGAGCCTCTGTAGATGGTGGCTGCTTTAACTTCAGTTGAGAAAGAACATTTATTTTACCTATTACCATACATAATATCTCAGAACTTTTTACTAAATTGAATATTATTTAATGATTTGTATTATCCCATTGACACAATGTTTTTCCCAACTTCCTTGGGATATTATTACATTTGCTGTTAAGACAAACCCAGACATCTTACCCAAATAGAAAATCATTTCCAAATGTACAAACTAATATGGTCACATTGCAGGTCAGGCCACATACAAAATGAACTAATGGATCAGGCAATTAGACCACAGTGCCCAATAAATATGGTAATAGGAAGTTTCTTTATTTTTAATTGACCTGAATGAACAATCCGGTTGAGTGTGGATGTCAAACAAAAAAGTACCGACTTCCTTTATTTTGTAACAAAAACACTGAGGCTCTTTTAATTGCTATTTATGGACCCTTAAATAGATTTATTTTTAGTTACCATAGTGCTGATACAATGTTGTAGAGCCTAATAAATTTGAGTACCATTCATTCACTCATTCATTTGTTGAATTTAAATTGACAGGTTTTATTTCCAAATCTGCCAGTAAGTTGGTGTAGACCTTTGGCAACTCACTTCCTTTCTGATCCTCATTTTACTATTAAATTACAACATGAGATGACTTGCTAATTAACTACACCTAACAATTTACTAGACATAGAAGGGGACAAAAAATAGAATTCACTTTTCAGAAAAATCTTAAAATATAATTACATTGACAAAAGTATAGACACGGAAAATGACTCTGAGGTAATACATAAATATTTGTAAACAAACATGATGAACTAACTGTACAAAAGTAAGAGAATTGCAAAGTCAAGGAAAGATAAGTGTAGGATGGGGCTTGTCATAAAATTTCTATACAGAATGCAGCTAAATTAATTGCTTTCTTGCTTAACTATTTTGGATTTGGTCATAAATACAGTAAAGATATGAACATTTTTAGAAAGGCATCTGACCCCATTTGGATTCTAAAATATTTCAAAGATAGAATATTTGCTTTTTGGTAATCAAAGGAAATGTACGTTTCATGCATAATGTAACCATGATGCTGTACTATGGGAAAATCTGTACCTGCGATTTGGACTTTCTGTGTAACGGCTGCTTAAGTTCCTCTGGCACATGGGAAGTACTAAAAGAAGACAGCTCAGCTTCAGAATATTGATTATCTTCCATTTTCCTCATTTTGAGGCTATCTGTGAAGTGCCTTATATGATCTAGAGCAGAAAGTCCACTTTTATATTCTTCCTCTTTATACCTAAAATGAACCAACGAAAAACACAGAAATTTTCTTTTCATTTGTTATCTAATCAAATCACTTTCATTTGAATCTATCTATACAACTGACAAACTTCATATTGTATCTGCAAGGTAAAGTAGCATGCATCAATTATTGGGTTTTTATAAATACTTACAAACATCATGTCTTAAAAATATATTTCTGTTAAGATTTTTAGTAACTAAAGCCAAGCATATATTTGAGATAAAGAGTTAAAGTCAGTGACACATTAGTCAGTAATAGGCAGAGACAGAATTCATATATTCATTATTTCCATTTAAAGTAAAGCTAATTATGACAATATTTAGTCAACATCCATCATGAAAATATAATAGTCCCATCAATTTAACTGTTTGGTTATTTCTTTTCATTTAAAAAGTTATCATCTATATAGATCACATATATATCTACTGAAGTGAAGTTTATCTCAATTATACTTAACTGATGACCATGCCAGATTATTGTATAATTAGATAACGTCAAAATCTCTATTTTTCTTTGAGTTTTATAGGTAGAGTCTAACAATAAATGATTGTGTACTTATGTAATTTTCATTTTATCTTTCCCACCTCAGGTTAATCAGAGTTGCACCAAACCTGATGTATTTATATGCTTGTGGATTATGTTGATAGCCACCTTATTTTCATCTATTTAAATCTGATCCACCATGTATCCCTTACTAATTCAAGTTTAATTTTTGTGATTTATAACTCACAAATTGCTTATCACAGGAGGAATTGCAACCGTACATGGATCTACTCTAGCTTAGTTTCTAAAGTCACCCAAGGTACTCACCTCACTGGGGATGTCTTGCAACTCATCTCCAGGGCACTGGTTTCTTCATAGTCATCCTCAGGGTTTCCTTCATGTAAATTACTTGTCACTGGTTCCTTTCCTGTTTTTCCAGTAATATCATTGTCTTCATCCTCCTCATCTAACAACACCTCATCTTCAACTTCTTCATCATCCAGCAAGTCTGAATTTTGACTGGTCACCAAAGCCTTTTCATCTTTAAAATGACTGCCATTCATTCTTTCAAAAGCATTAAAAAAAAAGTCCAATTGTTGGTTTCATTTTTAAAATTGTAATTTGTTCCTTTATTATGTCTTCCCAACAACAGTTTAGATTTTCAACACTTAACATCGGAAATGTTTTATTGTTTATGCTCTACGTCAACCATGAAAAAATAATGTGACTTCACAAATGGGAAGATAAAGAAAAAAATAATTGTATGATTGTTCAGATTATAAATGAAGCCTCTGGCAGAACCCGAAAAACAATCTTGGTCTCCCATTTCTTATCAGACTTTGCTTGATAATTGATATTGCTATATATATCATATAAAAAGGCACATAAGTATGTTCTCAGCACAATTTACCTAATTGCCATGTAAGTACCCACCATTTAAAATAATAGATTTCTGGAAAATTCATATCACTCATGGGCCGTAGCTACAATACACATGCCTAAAGTGACTCTAAAAGTCCAAAGACAATGTTAAAGTAGTTACCAAGAAACAACTGGTATTTACTGATACTAGATGACATTTGTGGTACATTCCACCTAACCACTCTACCCATATTTGGAAGTAATTGACAGCTCACTTATTTGTACTATTTTCAAATTATTTTTTACAGTCTGAATGTGAAATAGTTCCTTGTTTCTCAGGAAAACGCCAGGGTGGAAAAAGCTCAGGTATTACAATGTACCCCCATCACTTTCCCACATAACAAAAATGAGTATAATTTAATATTCAGATTTCCCAGGATTAAAAAATAAATAAAACAATCTTGGATGTGACAAACACACATAGTAAAAATCCATTTGACCAGAAAAAGTCATATCATTATTAAGCTTTTAATAAAAACAATCGCTTAACCTCTTTTATCAAAGAATGGTGAAAACATCTTTTGCACAGACATAAATTAGTTTCCAAACACACTGCCAACTTGCTTGCATGAGTGGATTAAAATTTTTATTTAAAAAAAAGAAAGAAAAAGTAAAAGAACAAAAAGAGTGCATGGATGAAAATCAAAAGTAACAAAAGCCAACATAATTAAGAAAATCTATTTGTTAATTAAGTTTTCAAATGTGGCAATTTACAGAGAATAAATTATTCATCAAAAGTAGCCTGGTAGGAGTTCAGGGGAAAAACTTAGATGACTCAACCTTCTTATTTCTGTGCTGTTTAGACATGCTGAAGCCAGATGTTGCAACTATACAGGCTCACAAATCGCCAATTAAAGGCTAGAAAATTTGAATAGGCATCTCAGAACCCAAATGGTGTGTTTTGTTCAACAGTTCTTATTTGCATCAAGTAAATATCATTATCAAAGTATAAGATCGTCACTGTTTCTTGCTTGTTCTTGCTACTTTGTCCTTCTGATCATCTGCTTCCTCTCTCCCTTTCACAAACAGACAGACAGACACGCACACACACACACAAATGGGCAAGTAAAGGGAAAGGTACATCCAACTGCACACTGGTGTAGTTATCAGACTTCTCAGAGACTGGAAGGGTCTTTTTTCTTGTTTTTCTTTGATACACTTTTATACAAGTTGAAAAACAGAAGTGGTCATTTTTTTTGTTATTTTAGTAAAAAATGTTTATTTGATGTTTGCCTTGAAAAAATTACATAAAATAATTAATTTTGACTTTTGATAACATCAAAAACAGAGGACACTAATCCAATAATACTTGTATGATGAAAAATAATGGAACTTTTAACTAATTTCATGTTATTTTGAAATTTACAATGTAGCATCTGAATTTAATAGGTCACTATATAGTCGTGTTCAGAAAAGTCTACTTCTCAACAATAGATATTTAATTATAGCTTACAGATAAGAAAAATTAAATCCAGTAGTTTTGGTGAAATAGTGTTTCATTAACTTCATATGCAATGTGAAGTGCTGGGTAACTGTTAAGTATTATCATTAACAGCATTAAAAGCTTTTTTAAATGAATTAAGCTATTCATGCTTAATGTTGGTGATGATAAAAGGGAGCCAGTGCATCAGGGCAGTAAAAACAAGGATGTTCATACCCACTGAAACAAACAGACCAGAATTAAATGAGTAGTCACTTAAGAGGACATAAAGTAGCAATAGAATCTTAAGAAGACTATAAAAGCTTCTATGTAAAATATATTTGGGGGAAACTCCATGGGTATTTCATATATAAATGCATACATACATATGTACTATAATATGTATATTACATATATACAGAATATACATATATGTATTTATGTATAATACAGGTATATAGAATCATATATTACCTGTAATATATATAATTTATGATGTATAATAGTAGCCACTATTGATCAGTGATTCAACTGAATCCCTGTGACGGCTTTCTCTTCTACTTCTGAAATTTTGATAACAGATTCTATTCAGCTATCAGATAGCTAAATCCTGGTAAAATTATGGGCTCTGGAACCAGAGAGCTCAGGTTGAATCCCATTGATTACTTATGTGACCTCTGACACAATGGTTTAAGCTTCAATGTCTCCATTCCTTCACTGCTAAAATTATAGTGGCTATCTCATAGGGTTATGATGAAATTAAATTAATTAACACATGTAAAATGCTTGGAAGCATTTAATGTGGTATTTAATATGTACTAAATATATACCAGTCTTTGGTGACTGAAGTAATAGTAGTGCCACAAAAGTGAGCATAGCAAGTATATTTTAAAACATGTTCATTTCAGTCGTCACAGAGTTTAAAAAGTAAAAGACAGCTTTACCTCTCCTCCACATTCCTGGGAGATTGGCTGCCATGGTTGCTGTTCCCAATGAAATTTCGAATTTCTGTGAAGTAAGCATCTTCTTTGTCATCCAGAATCGCACCTGTACTTTCCAGTTCAGAATGAGGCGACGATGTTGCTGTACCTGTGTGGAGCAGAAAGCCTTTTATGACAAAGATTATTGTTTATCTAGCAACTTATTTGGAAACTCACTCCTTATGAATTTGATCAGTGCTGTTTCTTAAAACATGCCCTATGAATATTAATAATAATAACTTTAGAAAGTCAAAGTCTCCCCAGTTTACCATAATACACATGCCCATGACGGTCCTTTGGGAATATATTGAACCACTGAAATCATGAAGTACAGTCTCGCAAAGAAGGTGCTTCTCTCACTAGCT
Source organism: Homo sapiens (assembly GCF_000001405.40). Classification (NCBI taxonomy): domain Eukaryota; kingdom Metazoa; phylum Chordata; class Mammalia; order Primates; family Hominidae; genus Homo; species Homo sapiens. The sequence goes on from NC_000003.12 coordinate 169,093,359, forward strand.
TTTCCTTACCTCTATTGTGACATGAGAATATTTGTATTCACATAATGAGAATTTAGAGTGAGACAAATTATGAACAAGTTTTAAATAGATTCTGCCAAGAGACACTCTATATGAAGTCCTGGTTGCAGTCAACATGCCTTTTTATTTATTTATTTATTTTTTGGCTACTATGCTAAAGCATATAACAAAATACAGTTTAAAGGCACACTGAAAATTCTGCATCCTGGTTTGCTGGGCGAAGCTGTGAGTTGACTCAGAACACTCCAGTCCAGGGGTTGGTGCAGTATTAAAAGGACAATATTAGATATGCTGATTACAGGATGATCTTCCCCTTCCTTGCCTATGCACTGCAAGACTCACAATACCCGTATCACTGGATTGGTGTAAGGCTTACATAAACTTAAACCACTTTTACACTTAAGCACTTTATATGTGGTTGAGCTTTACACCAACATTAGCTTCCTGTTGTTTATCTTGCCTACAAAGTATCTGTAATATAATAGTTCATCACAATAGTCTATATGACAAAAACAGGAGGTTAGAACATCCCCTCACCTAAAAGAGGTTACAATCTTGGTCAAAAAGTATTAACTTTGACATGTTACATGTTTAACCTTTTTTCTTAAAATAACTTTGATAAGAAAATTATAGTTGTATGCTATAAGGGTACACACAGTTAGAGTGGCCAGTTTTGCACATTGGATTATACTTCTCTACCTAAAATCTAATATTTTAAAACTATGATCATTAAATTGCTGACTTTGAGGGAGACGAACAGTATATACTTTTAAGTACTAATCAGACAAGATCATAAATAATGTGCCTTTATAGGGGAAGAAAGATTAATAATTAAAAAATTCCATAAATAAAGATTGCTAGTCTGTATTAATCCAAATTTTTTCTGTTCTTAAATCTCTTTGCCTGAATTCTGTATCTCTCCTCCCCTACCCCCAAAGCATAACCTTTATTCTCTGGAGACAAATTGTGACTGCACAGGTTGGCTCTGCACACATATGCCAGCTGGCAAATGTTACTTAATGACTTATTATCTAACTATTGGAAGCCAAAGACTAGAAAACCTACAATCCCTTCTGCTAAATATGTGCTGGCAAGGTCCCAGTTAAGAAAAGTCTAGTTTTATGCCAGTTACTTTTATCTTACTTTCATATAAGAATTTGTGACAAAAACAAAGCACTACTATCATTTGCTATGGGTTGCTCTGATCATGTCAATAGTCTCATATTCCCAGTCTTAACAAAAATTACCAAGAGAGGTTCTCTGAGCTGCAGGCCTTTTACAAAAGCAGCTATGCTTTCTAGATTAATATTCAGAGGGTGACATTCTGGGGCTGCTACTCTAGAGACTCTGCCATGCCTAGAGGCCACATTCTGTGCCAACAGGTGAAAAGACTGTCCCCTGTATTTTAGGAAATCTTGTTTCATAAGTCTCCTGCGAGTTTAGGTCATTGTCCTCTTTGCTTAAAATTACCCATTAGGAAGATAAAAACATAATCCAAATAAGGCCACTGAATTATAAATTAATGATCACATTGCTCACATTATTCTAAAATCTCAACAGAAACTTCCTGGGAATTTTTACAATAAGACCTGATTTTGGCGTCAAAATGGAATAAAAGAAGAAAGATCACATTATCTTATTATCTTTTAAAACACGAAAAAGAAGTCATCTTTGACTTATAACACAATTTATTACGTACCGGACATGTTCCCATTCTCATGTTTCTTTAGGTGTCTGTCTAAATTGGTTTGTTGACCAAAACACCTATCACATAAGTGACACTTAAATGGCTTCTCTTTATTGTGGATGTTGCGAACATGCCTTTGCAAGTTAGAAGATATGCTAAATGATCTGTCACAGTATTTGCATCTGAAAAATAAACAAAGAGAAAATATTAGCAAGCACATTAAAAGGTATTTCTCAAGACTAGTTAGCCAGCTATCAAAAATCATCTCCACTCATAAAACAACATTTTAAAGAAAAGGCACAGGGAGAATACTATTCACACAATTAAGATTTCAATTCCAATATACTCTGATTGCTTTAAAGACTTTCATGACTTTATCAGAAACCATAATAAAATATTAGTGATTTGATTGCTCCCAAATTCATTAATCAGTACCAATATTTTAAGTAAACCTCATAAAATAAAGCACATTGAGGAACAGTAGCATTGTTTTATCTTCTGCTTAGGACAATACAACTAATTTTTTTGTAAACAAACAAAAAACATTCATATAGTTTTCAAATACAATAAAATATCACTTTTTAATTCAAAATTTCAGTCTGATTAATTTCTCAGGAAATTCATTTTCTCAGGTGCTAATCCTAAAGAAAATTCCATTATCAGTTTCAAAATAGCAATCAATATTTTAGACTTTTAAAACTAAAACAATGTAAATAATTTAGTCTGATACCCAAGAATCAGCTACCACAAAGCCTTTTCTCTGTTAATCTTTAAACTGTTATAAAAAAAATAATAATGCCACTAAGTTCTCTTTTTGGAATGAAAGCAAAGGGCTTCCATTTATCTCCCTTCCTATTACCCCCTATTTTTCATTTCTCTTTTTCTGAACGAGTCTCTAGCAGTCTGAATCAGGTTGGTTTTTCATGAAAGCACTTATTATTGGTTGGTTAGTTGTTTCTGTCTTCCATGTGATAAAAAAAATCATAAATTATTTTTAAAGTTTTCCTTTAGTCATAAAATGAAAATACAAAAATGCAAGGCCTCCTTCCCCTAGCTCTCATTAATGAAGAAGAAAAGGGTTTTTAGTAATTGAGAAGGTATTGTCCTCTGTCATTTTAAGGTAAAGATTCCATTATTTGCCATCATTTGTTTATGATTTTGGGGGGCATGTTACTTGAAAAAAAAAGTTAACTTTCTCCAAATGACCTTTTTTTTTTTTGTTTTTTAGATGGAGTCTCACTCTGTCACCCAGGCTGGAGTGCAGTGGCACAATCTCGGCTCGCTGCAACCTCTGCCTCCTGGGTTCAAGCGATTCTCCTGCCTCAGCCTCCCGAGTAGCTGGGGTTACAGGCACGTGTCACCATGCTCGGCTAATTTTTGTATTTTTGTAGAGACAGAGTTTCACCATGTTGGCCAAGCTGGTCTCGAACTCCTGACCTCAAGTGATCCACACACCTCAGCCTCCCAAAGTGCCGGGATTACAGTTGTGAGCCACCGCGTCCAGCCTCCAAATGACTTATAAATGAAAACTTCAATCTTAGAGGACAGAAAATTCTTAACTCATCCTTCCATGTGTGAAGGGCCCTTCTCCTCCCACTTCTGAATGCAGAGTCAGTGGTTCAAGTGCTCTAAAGCAGAAGTCACCCCATTCCACTAGAGTTCTTGGGCTTCTGTGGTTGTCCTTATGTGATGCCAGAAGTCTAGTCAGTTCAGTAGGAAAAATAATCTGTTGAACTAGTTACTTTGGCATAGTATCACTAAACCAACACAAGTACTGATTTGATTTTTCCCCCTTAAAAAACTGTTCTGGCATAATAAGCTTCTTCAACTTTCCTCACTTACGATATTAATAAAAATTGTGTGAAACCCCACATTATGGTAGTTGTAATATTTTAGCCCCAGTTTTTTTTTTTTTTAAATGCGTATAAAGTTATGACCTTCTCTGCAATAACTCTGTTTACCTCCAAGGCCCACTGCAATGAGAACCATGCTATATTTAGCACAATTTATTCTGTGCTTAGCAGAATAACCTAGAAAACCCTGTTACAGTAAACGTACTCCCACAAAACACTTTAGAAAAAATTTTTCACCCAAAACACTTTCTACACAAATCATGAGGAAGAGAGATTATGTTTCTGCCATGCTTCTAACTTTCTGCTTGCACACAAAGGGTCTTTTCCAAATCTAGTAAGCACCATCTTCTCAAATCTAAATAAGCATGTTCTAACCAATGATCAGTTGTTACTTTCTATCTCTCCTCTGCTAAAGTCTTGGCCAGAAAAAGAATGTTCTAAATAAAAAAATCACTTCCTTCTACACAATTCCAATAAGAGCCTAAGTTTTAGAAATTCTTAAAACGAACACATAACACAGTCATGGGCAGTATACTATTAAGCCTTCCTAGTTATTGGATGTAGACATGGAGGTCAGACGAGCCTTTGAGATCATGATGTAAAATAAAAACGCTGAAGTGAGAGCTCTGGGCCTGGGTTTTAATCCTGACTCTATTAGTAGCAGACTTTGCGGAAGGCAATTAGCATATGTAAATCTGAATTTTTTCATTTGTAAAACAGAGGGGCTGATGCATCAAGGACACAGAGATGAGTAAGATATGGATTCTCCGGGACATGGTGGCACCTGCCTATACTATAATCCCTTCTCCTGCTAAGAATCAGGAGGCTGACGTGGGAGAACTGCTTGAAGCCAGGAGTTCAAAACCAGCCTGAGCAACAGAGTGAGACCTACTGTCTATATAAAAAAAAAAAAAAAAAAAAAAAGGTGGATTCCACTGTCAAGGAGCTTGTGGTCTACTGGTATTTATCTTTCTGAAGAGATAATTTTCTACATAGGGACCATGTTTAACTTTTACTACATAAAGTATTAAAACCTAATAGAACTTTCCAGAAGGCACAGGTCAGCCACAGGAAGCAGACAATTCATGTATCATTTACATACCATTTTACTTTTTTTAATTTTTTCTTTTTGAAATAATTTTAGACTTACAGAAGACTTGCAAAGATAGTACAAAGGGTTCCCATATACCCTTCACCTCAGTTCCTCCAATGTTAACATCTTACCTAACATTCATTAAAACTAGGAAATTAACATTGATGCAATACTATTAACTAAAATACAGACTTTATTTTAATATCACCAATTTTCTCCAGTGCTCTTTTTCTGTTCCAGGATCTGATCTATGATCCCACATTGCATTTAGCTGTCATGTCTCCTTAGTTTTCTACAGTCTCTAACAGTTCCTCAGTCTTTCCTTGCCTTTAATTACCCTGACACTTCTGAATAATACCGATTGGGAATTTGGTAGAATTTTCCTTAATTTGGGTTGGTCTGATATTTTCTCATTATTAGAGTGAGGTTATAAATTTTGGGGGAAAATAGCACAGAGGCAATATGCCCTCTCAGTGCATCCTATCAAGGGTACATGATGCTGACATGTCTAACTTCTGGCATTGTTAACCCTGATCATTTGGATAAGGTAGTATCTGCCAGGTTTGTCCATTATAAGGTTATTACTTTTTCTCTTTCTAATTAACAAATATTTTGCAGAAGATATTTTGGGGCTGTGCAAATATCCTCTTTAAACTTTCACTCACTAATTTTTTATTTTTTAAATAAACTTTTCTTTTTTTGAAGATGGGGTCTCGCTGTGTTGTCCAGGCTGGTCTTCAACTCCTAGGTTTGGGTGGTCCTCCTGCCCCAGCCTGTCTGAGTGCTGGGATTGTAGGCATGAGCCACCACACTTGGCCTAAATAAACTTATCATTTTAGAAGAGTTCTAGATTTATTAAAAGGTTGCAAAGATAGTACATAGTACCCATTTTCCCCTATTGTTAATATGTTTCAGGTACGTTTGTCACAACTATTAAACCAACACTGATACATTAACTAAACTATAAAATCTATCTAGTTCACTATATCCACTCATTTTAACATTCAATTGATCTTCCCTGTAGCAGTTATTATTGTGGTGTCCTACTTGTGATTTTGTTTTCCTCATTTTTTCTACACTGTTCATTGGAATTCTTCTGCAAGGAAAAAAAAAAAAAAAAACCCAGAGGGGCTGGACAAATAATTGTGTAAGCTCTCCAGCTATACCAAAATGCTGGTTTGTGGTTTAAAAAAATATATATGCACAATAATAGAGCCATTATTGGGTGGAATAAAACCATTGAAATTTATGTACAAAGAAAGAGTAAAATGAACGTGATAACATAGTTTCCAGTACTCTTGCCATAACAAAACATGAGTGTGGAAACCTTTCCTTCCACTTAAGCAGAATTTCTGGTAATATAATTTTCTCAAAAGGGGAAATCATCTAAAACTTCCCAGTATTACATCTCTCTGAGACCTGTTATATCAAGTGCATTCTATCATGTATAAATTGGAAATATATCACTTATAATTAGTGATTTATAAAACAGGTAGGAAAGCAAGGAATTTGAGAAAACTGATGTTTTAAGTTTAGCTCCCTCTAGCTTTCTTCTAAGATTTCAATTATCCTCAAATGACCCATTTTCTTATTTTACCATTAAAAAAATATTTGAAATCTGATAAATAACTTACTTTTTGTTTTAATAGAAAAACTTAGCACTCAGGAAAAAATAATTTTGCATACATGCAATGTATAAGAATTTCAAAGGAGAATGACATTATGATATTACTTAAGTTGTATAATATTCATTCTTTGAAGAAATATTTACGAGTAACTAATACTGTGTGCAAGGCATTGAACATTAAATAATGTAGTTTATATTTTAAAATTGGAAAGAGTAATGTTGTCTATTTTCAATCTAATCTTTCTAAACAATATTAAAATTAGATGTGTCCAATGTGTCATATGACTAATTTTGGCATGTAATAGAATAAACTAAGAGGTAATTTAGGAAATTATTGATAAAATTGCCCGTTTTTCTATAATATACTCTATTTTATCTGTCCTACCTCTAGTTTCATATTTTCTTCTCCCCTGACTTCCCAGGTTTAAGATCTATTCTTTTTTTCTTTCTTTCTTTCTTTCTTTCTTTTTTTTTTTTTTTTTGACAGAGTCTCACTCTGTCACCCAGGCTGGAGTGCAGTGGTGCAATCTTGGCTCACTGCAACCTCCACCTCCCAGGTGCAGTGGATTCTCCTGCCTCAGTCTCACAAGTAGCTGGGACTACAGGTGTGAGCCACCACACCTGGCTAATTTTTGTATTTTTGGTAGACACAGGGTTTCACCATGTTAGCCAGGCTGATCTCAAACTCCTGACCTCAAGGGATCCACCTGCCTCTGCCTCCCAAAGTGTCGGGATTACAAGCGTCAGCCACCATGCCCAGCCTAAAATCTATCCTTTAAACCTCCTATTGGAATCCATGGAAAATGACTTAGCTGTGCTGGGGGAAAAAAAGTACATATGGGTTATTAACTCCTAGCAGAGATTTGAGGCTTGGAAAAGGAAGGCTGCAAAGTTATGATTTTTGTCAATTAAGATCATCCTAATTATTGAGAAAAGAGAACAAATGATAATAAAAAATAATATTTAAAATGGCTAGCATTTCTTAAGTACTTATTCTGTCCTAGACACTGTGCTAGAACTTTTAAACTGAGAGGTAGGAAGCCTTGATTAAAGAAACTGGAACTCTTCTAATTTTGATCCTAGCCATTAGTCAATTCTTTCTTGACTCAAAATTGAATAGACATATATTCAGACACGCATAAAATTTAAACTTTAATTATTATAAACTTTAATTATTATTTTATTATTAAAATAAACTTTAATTATTACAATATTTATCAAGATATTTAGCAAATATCATTGTCAGACCTGTAAGGCTGCTCTCCTGTGTGGGTTCTCAAGTGCCGTGTTAGGTTTGCAGACCTTGGAAAAATCTTGCCACAGTATCTGTTATGAAAAGATGTTTATAAGAGAAAGTCAGCACAGTTGACTATATTTCACTCATGCCACACAGCAGCCAGATGCTTATTCCTGATTCAATTAATCTTGCATGGAACTCACATTTCTTTGGTATTTAAAATTTACAACAAAGCCATTTCACAGATATTAATATAAATAACTCTACAAATAAAGACTGCATTCTAAGATCTGGTTGAATTTGTTCACTTATAAGCAAGCAATTTATGAAAATAGACTTTAGTTTTGATTACTCCTATACATCTCTCTTATTAACTCAATATTTTTACATTCACAAAATTGAACCAGATAAGGGGATAAAAATATGATAAGAGTTTCTGATTCTGGGTTGATGTAAACAGATTTCAAATGTTTCAACTCATTTTACATGTCAGCCACAGTGATAACTCCCTATGCATAGAGTGGTATCAGATCAGACAAAATCCTGAGACTTCATCCATCAAGGTATGTACCCATAAAAGCTTTATTTCTGGAAAGAAAGTGACATATTTTTCAAAGAGAAGATAAAGTGATATGCCTGAGTCAAATACCTACACATTTCTAAAGATGATTCAGAAATTATAAGCACAATTTATTTAGCAAAAAAAAATCACACACAAAACCAGAAACATAAAATAAGCTTTACTACTGATGAGTAACAAAAAATTTACTAGCTAGTTTTATTCACTTATGGACCTTACTTCTCTTTAATTAATGGCCTTATTCTTTAATGCCATGACAATTAATAAATATATGCTTGAGGACAGTAGTAGTATACCTTTAGATGAAAATAATTAATTGTGAAAGAAAATTCATAAATATCAAAGTGAGACAAGTAGATAGTATTTGGATTGTTTCCAACCTCATTTATCACAACCAAATGTCCTGTGTTAAAATTCACATTTAATAATTTTTTAAAAACACTATTTTTATATTTCACTAAATGAAGAACACTTTGAAGTGCTGGAGATCTATTATGGTGGCTATTAATCATCTAATCAGGAATAATTTCCAAAACAAACAGCAAGACCTTTTGAAATCAGAGGGGAGATTTCTGGAAAGTCAGCCATAATTAACTGTGCAGTTACCTGCAGGTATAGCGCTCCTTTCCCTTCCGCAGAAGGTTCTCTGGCAGGGCATTGGGAGGCGCCCTGAAGTTGAACATAGAGGGCACTGACTGTAAGAGCTCACTGGCCTCAGGTTTCAGGGCACTGAAGCTCTCTAGCTTTTCTGCCATGTTTTCAATAGCTGACATCTGAAAGGTAAAAGCACAAGACCATGAAGCGTTTGGCATCTTGTCTTCTATAATAATCTCTGGCAAACCAAGGACATCATTAAAAGGGAAGCATGAAATCTGCGACGGGTTGTAGAAAGAGACTGTAGTATCCCAATATTAAATAAACAACAACAGAATTGATTTATTTGGGAAATACCATAAGTAGAACCAAGCTTATAAAATGCTGAGCGAACTTTTTCCATAAGACCTTGGTTAGGCCATTTTATCATAATCTGATATATAATTGAACATTGAAATACATAAGAGAGCCAATAAAGCCAAGTTAACTTTTTATTTGATTAAATGACAGCATTAGTATCATGGTATGGATATTAACATAACGGAAATTATAGGAAAAGTTGCTATATGCCTTACCTAGGCAATGAAAACCGTAAGAACCATGCAGTCCCAAGAAAAGAACTGAAAGCATGGGAGAACATGAAGTATTACAGAATTACAGCTTAAGCCAAATATGGGTAACTCAGAAAGAAAAAACTAAATGTATAGGAGGGTATTGCCTAAGACTACATTAAATTAACATCTGGATATGCCATATTTTTATGTAGGATCATATACAAAGAATTTTGATTAAATATTAATTTTATCAAAGACAAAGACTAAGTTGAAATGACAGTTCATCATATGTTAATATAATTTCATATAACATAACTTGGCATGTGCCTTGTAAGACAGGGGGAGCAGTTTATGTAACCACACTTTTCGAGAAACATTCTTGAAAGAAAACTATCCCTGCCTAATTCTTCCCCTCTAGTAATCTAATTTTTGTTGTTTATAATCTTCAAGTTTTTGTACACCTGCACACTTATTTGAGAGTCACAAGCAGAAGATGGCATTTACTTTTAAAGTTGGCTTGATCCCTGTTTTTTAAAAACTTTTTGTAGAGATGGAGTCTCACTATGTTGCTCAGGCTGGTCTTGAACTCCTGGTCTCAAGCAATCCTTCCACCTGCTTCGGTCTCCCAAAGTGCTGGGATTATAGGCATAAGCTACTGTGCCCAGTCTTAGCTTGATTCTTAAGCTCCACAGCCAGAGGGACTCTCCCCTTTCCTTTGACCCTCTCAACATGTTGTGTTTCCTCAGGGCTCACATTTTATTTGGAAGCTGCTTATTACTGAATTTTTAAGTAGAAAAACAAACTTTCAGGCCATCCTGTTAAATCAACTCACCCATTATTTATTTGATTCTCAGGGCAGTGTGCCATTAGAAAGCTCAAGAAGCTATTTTAAAAGGTGTTTGCATTCTATATGCATTACATAAAAATCTCAAAGAGCTGTGATGCTAGACCAGAAGACACATAAGAACTGAGATGATCACTGCAAATTCAAACAACTGGTCAACCCAAGAAACTATCCTTTTGCTAATGAGACAGCAGGACAGAGATGGAGGCCTAATTTATGAGCTCAAGTTAAAAATAAAAGGCAACATTTCCTACTCAGAAGGAAAAATTAACAAGACATATATTCTGTGGACACACAGCTGGACAGAATACCATCAGCTTCTTAAAGTAGAGCAAAGTCTTAACAGCATGGCCTGAACATGATCTCTTCTCACAAAAGGAATATTGTGTGTTTGATTCTTCAAGTGACTATTCATGTTCTAGTTAGTTCTCTTTTTTCCCCCTTTATCCTGGAGCCTGCCCTCTCATTTCATGCCCGGACTCCTAATGTTAGCTACAAATTGCAACGTACAGGGTACTACTGCCAATTTGCCAAATGTCTTTCATCAAACACGGTACAAAAAAATCTCAGAGGAAAGTCAAGATACATTTACTTGTCAGACGACAAATGTGAACGCATCGGGAGGCAGTAAGGGCTATAAGCTCAGGGGTTTGATTCATAATCACTCAGCTGCTAAAACATTCTCCACAGATGCAAGTGGACAGCACATTTGTCACTATGAAGGATTTTGACACATACTGATCACAGGGCAGAGATATGGAATGATGCTGCTGCTCACAGAGGTTGGAGGAAATTCTGTCTCTGCAGAATATGGTCATTATTCCCTTCTAGACAGAGCATTAGCATGTCCATGTTACTTTGGATTTATTTGTTAAAAAATCAATCCAGAAATATTTTATGATACTCTTGTATTTGCATTTATTCCTTCTAATTGTTCCTTGCAGAAAATCATTTTGATATTCCACCCAGCAAGAAATAAGTTTTCTGAGTGAAAAATGAACTCTGGCCTTTAAACTGATTAGTACTACTAACAAGCATGGGTAAGGGTCATGATCACACACATTTATTGGGAAGAACAGTTAATGCATGGGTAATGATTATAAATGTTTTATTTATGTACATTTAATATTTAAGTAAAATTTCATTATCTAGTGGTTTTAAATCATTTGAGTGTCCATCTTGCTGACATACTCAGACTCCTGCAACAAAACATCTCATAGAAACACGTTTCCTTTTATATGGAAAATAGCTTACTCATGACTATTATTCTCGGCTTTCATCTTCAGCACACATAAACCACAAGTCCTTCAAGTTATTTGAGAGCAATTGGCTGTTGAGAAATGTGTCTTGCTTTAGTAGCTGCTAATAGCTAGCTCCTTTTGAAGAAAGATCACTGTGATTACTTTACCTCAAACTGTTTCGATTTGGGAAAACCATCAAGAAACAAGAAAATATATTATGGGCTTGATGGCTAAATAATGACATTCTTAAAGGTAATAGGAAAAAGAATAAGGGTTACGCAAGTGTCTTACAAGCCTCCCCCACCTTTGGCTTCTGGTGTCAAATGAAAAGAGGATTAAATTGGAGTGGGGAAAGGGAGGGAAAGACGATGGGAAGCGAGCTGAGGGTAACTATTAACACACATACACACGTACACAAAACATTTTCTGCCCAGCCAGCAACCACTGAAGCAACATAAAAGCCTTCGTTGAATCCTTCTTTTCATCTTCCTAATGTGTGCTCTTATAGCAGTTGACCTCAGTTGAAAAGAATAAGTTTCCACATTAAGATAAACAGAAGTGACTCAGACATCTGCTAGTTGGGGTAACTTGGCAGTTCTGTGATCAACATCAGCCCTAGTCAACACCTTAGATTAAGATATTGGATTAACACGAACTCTATTGAGTGCACAGATCAAAACCCCAACTCTCTCTTGCTATCTGGTCTGAGTCACGTGATGTTCCTCCAAAAGTAACACTTTTTTGCAGGAGAAATAGTAAGTTTTGACATTCATTTTAAATTTTAAAAATCAAGATAAATTGGAATAAATGGAACAGAATCTAGCTATATGTTTTTAAATTATGAAAAAATCAAATGAAAAGAGCAATATGTACTACTAGGAATAAGAAATTTGCTGAGAATGGGGAAATCAAAGGGGTAAAATTAGATCATATATTTTAAAAATATATTACCCTGTGATCCATTAATGTCATAGGCTAATCTAAGATCAGTAAATGACAGTTTTTTTCCTATGGAACAGTAATTTTTATTTACATATATAATAGTTGATGTTATCTGCAGCCAGATGTCTGGAAGAGGAAGTCATTTCACCCTGTTCCAGTCCCCAAGAGGCTATTAACTTTATACTGACGCAAACTAATATTTAGACACAATTCCCTAGCTCCTACCAAAAAATGTAGCTATCTCTCTAGTCAAATAAAGTTAGTATTTTTAAAAACATTTCAGCAGGCAAGATATTATCAACTGGGTCCTAAGCACTTAACATTTATTATCTGGCAGCCAATAATTGATGACAAAAAGGTTTCTCATTAAAACTATTAAAGTGACAACCTGATTATATGAAATGATATGTCCAACAACACCATGAATTATGTGACCTAATGTTTTACAAATTCGATTACACATGACTTTATCATAAAATAACTAACTTTTCATAAATAACTTATGATGGGAAAGTTTGTAGATTTGGTGATTTTCTATATTTATTCACTTGATAATCTTGAGAAATCTCAAAATCATGGTCATATGGGGGAGAAGTAAATATTCCTATTTTATGGTTATCCCACTCCATGTATCACATTCAGCAGTCATGATTATGAAATCACTTAGTTTTTTCTTTATTTTTGTGAGTACATTGTAGGTGTATATATCTGTGGGATACATGAGATGTTTTCATACAGGCATACAACGTGAAATAATCATATCACGGAGAATGGAATATTCATCCCCTCAAGCATGTATCCTTTGTGTTACAAACAATCCACATAGAGGTTTTTTTACCACGAAAAATTATAAACATATATCTTTAATATTTCCTACTAATATCTGTTTTATAATACAAATGTAAATCACATCTCTGAAAAACCTGTGACTCAATGGAATGGGAATGTTTCAAAGCATTGCAACGGCAATCACTATGCTGTTGTATTATAAGAAAAGGTAGTTTAACTTAAAATCTATATTGCCTTGGTAAGTTGGTACAATCATTGGCCATGTATGTAAGGGGTCAACACCTTAAGCTTCAACCACCTAACAAGAGAGCTATTGTCAAAGTCATACTGTACCTTAGAAAAGATGAGGACCGTGAGGCACAATACTCAAGACAGATCTCTACCAGGAAAGGCAAAGGAAGAATACTGGAAATGTAGGCCAGGATAATCAGAAAACAACCCCATCTATTGCACAACTTTGCCTAAGTTAGTGGGTTGATCTCTCTTCCTCTCTCTCCATAAATATTTGTGTACATTTGAAATAAACTTAAACCTTAAAAGTCTATCAGAATGAGAAAAATCACAATTTTACATATTCCACAAAAGAGATAAAATGAAGGAATTTCTCATAAAGAAAAATTAACATCAAATAGAGGAAATAGGTTAGTGCTAAAATGCTTCAATTAAGTTTATATATAATGATTCAGTGACTTTAAAAGGACAGCTAAACTATATCCCAAGATTTTGCTCATTCATCAGAAATCAGCATAATTTTCAGTGAAAAAGAGAAACAAAAACACATATACTTAGAGAATATTTTTAACTATATGTTATTTCCACTGACCAGGTTTTATTTGGGGGTAAAAACTAAATAAGCAGTATTCTTTGTATCCTGAATATCTTCCACAATAAAAATAAAGCTATCCCCTAATATTATTAATTGAAACTGACTGGATCTGGAAATAGTAACTGAAAGTCAAGGAAGTGAAACTAGATGCTAAAAGATCCATTCACTAGTTACACATGAATTTGTAAACATTTAGTTTTATATCTTCAAATAGCCAGAACCAATTTCTGCCCTAGGATATATAGATGTGAATTCCCATGTCAGCCTGTATCTACACAGGAGTTCAGGTTTTATCCTTTAGAAGGCTTTATCAAAAGCATCTTTACATGCTGATACAGGCTCCACCAAATAATGGTTGTTTTCACTTAGTGACCCATTTCGAAGCCTCGTTTAACAGCGTGTTCCCAGGTGTCCAGAAAGAGCTCCGTATCAAGGTATAATTATGTGGAATGCATCAGATTTATCGAATAAAATCATTCTGTAAACAATTTCTATCCCACTAAATGCCCAATTATAACTGAAAGAATGCAGCTTGAGAAAGCAGGGAAACTATCTGCTGGAACCATATCACGTAATGGAAAGGGGTTCAGAATTATTTATGTCTGTACAGCAATTTAGAATGTAAGCTGTTTTCTTTTTAATGCTACATCACTTTAGTCAAAAATATAAGTAGGAAACTTACCCAAGTTCTCTGATCAGGCAGTTGGAACTGGGAGCAAAATTGAAACAAAAACAAAAAATTACTTCTGTGTTGGTATCTTTATTGCAATCTATCCTTTGAGAAATTAACATTTGTACTAACTTAGTAATTTTTGCTTATCATGTAACTGTACCTTGAGTAAAAGCTTTGGAAATAAAAATTAAATATTGTTATAACTCTGTTGAATTTCCTCTGTTTACCTAAATGGAATGTTTGAATCAAGGTTAATTTCCACAAGAAAGCTAAATGCTACCTACTAGCAAATCTTACAGCAAAGCAGATGCTTCCTTTTTATTAACTACTACTTGCTATAAAACAATATCCTTAAACTTAGTTTAATTACTAAAAATTAGGCCATTTCCTGTAAAAATCCAATCTCTTGCATTTGTATAATGTTAATAACAAAGAAAAGATATTTACTCAAATATGAATCACTAAATAACAAAAGGATAATGAAAGGATAATGTACTTGGAAATTCACTACTTGATTTTTATTAGCATAGGACTCAGACCATCAGTAGTCAGAACAGTTAAGAACGTTAATGGAAAACTAAAAAGATCTAGCTCTTAATGACAAATTCTGACAAGAGTCACTGGGAAAACCTTCAGTGGGTTAGAAGCTCTTCCAGGAGACACAAAAGTTATATACGCTTAAAAATATCATTTTGCTTGGTTAAAGGAGATATATATTTTGCTTATACATGTTTTGGTATATTTAATAAGGAATATATGTAGTTTTTAAAGGATGAAAACTTGATTGCAGAAGAAATCTAACCATATGAAACACTTGTTGAAAGCAAAATAGAAGATGAAGAACAGAAGATTTAAGTGATTTTTCACATCAATGTGTAAATTATAACTTAGGAAAAGACTGTCTCCTCAGTTCCTTGGAATGTAGTAGCATGATAATCAGCCAATTTAAAAGAAAGAAAATATAAAAGAATGAAGAAAGGATAGAAATGTAAGTAAAAGAGAGTCTGTTGCAGATGTACTCAAAGCCAAACATTTGGAAATAAAATGTGCAAATAACCAAAAATAATATTAAAAGTATAGTAAAATCAAACCAAGGAATAATAGCCACTTTTACAATAGTGTAATTGCAAAATGACTTCCATGGATGTTCAAATGGGCTATCAGTGTGAATGCAAAGGATCCAAAATAGGAACAAACGAAATGGACATTCAGAGGTCACACAGTAATAACATTCCCTGCATCTTACCTATTTGTGGCCATTCAACTCCTTTTCAAAATTACAGTGACCATAAATAATTTTCAATCACATATGCAGGGGAAGCCTCTACAACGCTTATTTCTCCCTTAGAGTAAACTAACTTATTTGTAAAAGAAAACTAGAAGACTAAATAGTTCTCACCTGGCCTGATAGAGCAAACATGCTTCTTCAAGAATTGAACTAAGAGAAGACTTTAGACCCTCAGCATTCATCTTTTAATTTTGATGTATGCATTCATGTATCTTTTTTTTTTTTTTGAGTTGGACTTTCACTCTTGTTGCCCAGGCTAGAGTGCAATGGCACAATCTCAGCTCACTGCAACCTCCACCTCCTGGGTTCAAGTGATTCTCCTGCCTCAGCCTCCCAAGTAGCTGGGATTACAGGCATGTGCTACCACGCCCGGCTAAATTTTTTTGTATTTAGTAGAGAAGGGGTTTCACTCTGTTGGTCAGGCTGCTGTTGAACTCCTGACCTTAGGTGATCCGCCCGCCTCGGCCTCCCAAAGTGCTGGGATTACAGGCATGAGTCACCGCACCCGGCCTCTTCTAAGTATTTTTGACAGAATTTTTAAAATACGTATTATTCCAAAACGCAATAATATAGCCTAATAATCTTTCAATAAAATTCAATATATTTTTATTTACTGAGGTGTTCACTTATCACTGATTAGGAATTATGGAATGGGAAGGAATATGCTGGGAACAATATAAAGATATTCAAAAATTGTAAAACCAGACTTGCCCAGAGAATACCACTATGAAGCATCCTTCTTTCTTTTCCCTAAAACATTGAGAATTTGATCCTCCCTTTATTATTATGATAACCCAAGAAATAGGGCAGATATTATTCCCATTTTGAAATGAAGATCCAGATGCTGAGAGGGTCCATGTGATTTACTCCAATATACTTAAATGGAAAATGAAGCAATGAACAGTTTTATGCAAGCACATTAGCTATGAAATCATAACAAGCACTAAGAACAGAGGCAAGTCATTCTGTTTTGGCTCCTTGATCTGTGCCCCCCTTACTTCTGCAGTGAGGTCATGCCAAGAATACAATAAGCATCTTTTCAAGCACTCCTAGATACATGGCATGGCCCTGGCAAAGAAATTGGGCATAAATATTTATATTTATAATAAAATGCTTTTGCACCCACTAATAAGAGCTCTTCCTCATTTAGGTCCTTCCACATGCCAAGCACAATGCTAAATATGTTGCGTACATAAATGCCAGCTCTTCCAGCTACCCTGGGAAGGGTAAGACTTGATGAAAGAGGAAGAGGGCTCACCTGTATCCCAGCTTGTATCCCAGCTATATATAGCATGACACAAGAAAACAGCCATGATATTTATAAAAACAATGAAATATTTCTGTAATAGTCGGTAAATAGCCTTTGCCCTAAGCACCCTGAGTGTTCCCCTGCTTCCTTGGCCTCTTCCCCAAACACCCCTCAGATAGTCCCACTATCCAGCAAATAAAACATTGGCAGTTGATGCAGCAAAAGCCTCCAGTATCCTGCTCCAGAATGGCAGAAATCCATTCCGATTGGTAGGTATTCATGACGCATCAGGTTCTAAGTATTTTGATCACCACTCTTGGGTCCTGTTCTAATAGCAACATGCAGCAATAGGGAATCCCTTACACCAAGACGTGACATTCTGGTGTAGGAGGGAATCACTGCCACTGTGCTCCCACAGGCGTGTTTGTGAAGATCTGAGGAATGACTGCTATGCTCGAAGCACTGGACACATGCCTCATCTTTTGTGATCCTTAATTAACTTTGGGAATGTTAAAATATAACATATTTGCTCTCTTATGATTTTATTTTAAAATATATACCTACTACATTGCTAACAGCTGCGAATTCATACAGAATGAATGGTTGACAAAACTGCCCATCTTATGAACTGGTAAATTTACCTTAGTTAGCAAAACATCTTTGAATTTCAAAGTGGATAGAAACCTTACACCCGACTCTCTCATTTTTCAAACAGGAAAACTAAGAGCCAGGTAGACTAAGATGTTCAAAGACACTGAATCCCTTTTTGGTTTTTCTCCATTCTACCGTGAACCCATAGCACTCAATTTTGAAATGGTTAATTACTAAATTGTAAAGATTATCAGAACATGAAAATCACTTGACTACTGTAATTAATATTACTGTAATTAATTTTTGTAACATTAATGTATACATGAATATTATATGTTCATAAGTATTTATTTATAATTATAAAGGAAGTATCAAGAGAGATGTACTTTTTGTACAATATCTGACACAAAATATGTGCTACATTCCAGTTTATTAGCCTATGAAACTTTACAAGTACTATTTAGATCAGTCTAAATATAAAATATAGTCCCGATAAACATTAACTGTTTTGTAACTTACTTCTTTTCCATAAAGTAATTATGTGAGTAACATTCTTTAATCTTCCTATATAAAATTAATACTAACTGGAATGTTTCTGAAACTTTTACTGCTAAACCACATATTATCTCATTTTGAAAGGGAGTGAGAGTTCTTTAGTAATAGTAGATTTATCCAACTAACCCAGAAGATTGTGTTACAACTCTCATACTCTTTATTCAGGACTCTAGAAAGATACTTGAAAAAATACAAAAGAGGTAACAGAAAGGAAAAGGAAAAAAGAACCATATCCCATGATCTTTATTTAATTAATTTAATTACCTCATAGCTTTCCATAAGACAGCTTGCATAAACTTCCCCTGATTTTATTAGAGAACCATCATTTTTTGTTTGAACATATTACAACAGAACAAATTAGTTTATTCTATTTTTAAGAATTTTTATTAAAATGTTGCTATCTATAAAGACCAGAGCTTGCATCCTTTAAACAAAAGTAAAATAAATTTTAAATTAAGAAACCACATTCAAGATGTTTATATACCGTATTTGTTCTTTCAATACGATTTTCCACATGGTGGAAAATATGTAAACCTGTTTTTTAAAATTACTAAATGTATAAGGACTTTAGGATGAACCAATTAGAGATAGTGCTGCTTTGCATTTTCCTTGCAATGATAAACTGTATATATTTTGATAAATGAACACAATTCTATTCTGCAAATAGCACTGTGCATTGTGGTGAATTCTTGTGCAATTACAGAGCTTTGCTGGAATGCTCAGTGGTCTCTAGATAAATTCCTTCACCCTCTATGGTAACAACTTGTCAGGTAGACTCATTTCCTGTTTTTATCTAAGCCCGAAAAGAACAAGAATGACCTTCATGAGTATGGGACGAGTCACAGTATGATCTATTTCTTAGTATCAGCAACCACCACACACAAAACACATCTTGGATATTTATTTTCTTAACTGAATCCTGCTCACTCCAAAATGCACTTTAACTCAATAAACAGTTAATAGCAGACAATCATTTAACACTGAAATCATGTTATTTTTACACATATATTAACTAATTTTTCTTTAAAGAGTTTGGGTTTTAATTCTGCTAGAATTTCCTGTGTTCTTCCACACCAGCGTCATAGGAAATCCTAATGTTCTCAAGATGTCTTTCATTTCATTGCACCTGCTTTTCAGGATCAACAAGTTAGTTTACAAGCTGGAAATCTCAAATCCAAAATACTTACTTGTGGGTGAAACAAGAATCCTGGAGAAGGCCTCAAGTATTTCTCTTTTAAAGCTTCAAGTGGGTCAGTTAGTTTTCTTTTCTCTACTCTGAAAGGTTAAAATTAGATTTTGGAGATGAAGCAGTCTCACATATCAATCACTACATAATCACTGACATTTAAAGGAACTAACAATAAAGTCAATGGTAGGTTTCTGGGAAGCGCACTCATAAAACTATAGAGACATCTGTCCAGTTCTTGGAGATTCCTCATGACACTTCTAGGTGCTTAAGAAGAAAAGTTCCTATTTATAATGGAAAAACCCTACTGAATGACTAGGAATAGGAATAACGAGAAAACATGAAAAATAAGGAGTCACTAAATTAGAGGCATTTGTCATGAATTCAGTACCTTTCCATTCCAAATGTAGACAAGAATGCTTAATGATTTTGAAATCATGAGGTCAAGGCTGATTTTGAATATTAGAGCAATTTTCTACCAAGAAGGTGTTCTCCCAAATGTGCACTTTATTCCTTCCATATTTGTCAATAATAGTAAGGGCATTTCCAAGCATATACACTGCTAGCCACTCTTTGAGGTTCTCTCTCTCTCAATATATATTTATATTTAAACATATAGCATAATATATTGATATATAAATATTTTATGTAAATTATATTTAATATATATTCAGAGAGAGAGAGAGAATATATGCTCTTTGGATGCCACTGCTGATAAAGAAGGCAGGCAGATAGAATGGGTGTGGTGAGAAGAGAATGGGGAGCTTTCTGAAGATAGAGAGAGACACATAAAACTTACCTATATATCCCTTCTGCTTTAGAAATGTTTGCCATTCTATTTTGTATTAAGCACATAGGGAAATAATATCCCTATGTTGAATTAATTCATTGAATTAATTTCTTTTACCAACTTGGTAATTAAAAAAACTTTTAGATATGTGCACTCTTAAAGCAGAATAAAATACCTACCACTTATTGATATTATATATGTGATATATGTGTGTTGCATATACTATTTCACTTTTTGAAGTAGGTGATGTTATATCCATTTTATGCTTTTTTTTTAAGTCTCAGACATGAGAAGGCTGAGGTTGCAACCCAAGTCTGACACTAAAACTGGATTCTAGGTCTTTCATGAGTTTGGCAAAATGACAGGCCTAGGTCTTAATTGAGACAAGCACCAGAGAGATGTTGGAGATCACAGTGAGTAAGAGGAATGCTAGTAGGTGATGAGGATGAGTGCAAGAGATATGTGGAAGAATCAGAAGCCAGTTGCTACTGAGAGGGTACAAAAAGGAAAGCCTGAAAAATTATCTTAACAAAGGACTGAGACACATCATTGAGTTGGAAATACGACTTTACCCGAAATGTGTGACATACAATCTACACACAAAACACGGAAGACATGTTTTTCTTTTTTTTCCTTCTCTGGTAACAGGACTGCCAAACTAATTGAGATATAATAATTTTAAAAAGCAGCCAAACTTGGTACTGACAGCACTGAGTTATTTTGTATTGTCCTTTGATACTACTTTATCATATTCAAACGAGGGTAGTCCTTTCCATACTGACAGTGTTTCCTTGTTAACGCATTATAGATAATATACATAGAAGAAGAATTGTAAGTGAGAAGAACTTGCAGCTCTAGTACCTATTAAGTAATATGAACTTGATAAATATTGTTGAATTAAATAATAGCACATTTTCTCTTCACGAAAGAGAATTAGGCAAAATATGAAAATACTCCGATGTTAAATAAGTTCAATAAAAAATTATCCAGATGTTCCATGAACTCTTGACAATGTTCAAGATTAGAATGAGAAAGTAAATGTGAAAATGTTTGTAATATTCAAAATATGTAACAAACATATTATTATTCATACCCATTTAAAGAAAACTAGTATTTTAAAACTAAATCACTTTGGTCAGGTGAATATTACTGAATATTGCCAAAAAGGCCTTTTATTAAACTTGTATGTTTCACCCCAAGATTTTTTTGCTACATCAAAGGAAACCGGATAATGAAGCTATTAAACAGAGACATTTTTTAAGCCAACTACTCATATTATATACAAAACATATTCTGTGATTAATATTTCATTTACTTGGGGGCTCCTGAGAGATTTATTTAGAAACAATATGACCAGCCCTTATTAAGGATGTGTTGGTAGGTCAAAAAAGAGTGGACTCTTGCTGTTAGATATCCCCCCCATTCCAAAGAACCTGACCCATTTAAGTACCCACGCATATTTGCATTAATCCTTCAGGATCCTCATTCTTCCGCCACTTGACAATTTACTTTAAATATGACTTTCCCATATTTTCCACTCCAAAAAAAGTGTTTAAAAATAAATTTATTGTCAAGGGAAAAAAATTCTGTAGGCCTATTCCAAACCCCCAACTTCAGAAACATCCAAAAATAAGTTCAAACAGAATGATCCAACTTTCAGAATAAAAAATGAGTTCACTAGATCAAACAACTTCACTCTGTTTTATAATAATAGTAAAAATGATGTGTTAAAAAGCCATCACTTTACAGTGGAAATACCGCCTTTCATACATCTGCTCATATTTCGTCATCTTCCATACACGCTTACCTGTAAATAGGGTCCATAAAGAAAGGAGTGGGTCTTGCATGCTGCAAGGAACCATCTGAAGCAGGTCTTGATTCGACGTTGCTTCCTTTTTTTCCCCCAAACACGTGGTTTTTTCGAGGCTCAGTCAGCTTTGTCCCACTGGCTCTACTCCTACTGCCCATACTTAGATCCAGGGGCTGGTCTTGGCTTGTGGCAGGTGTCACTGGAGGCTTGGAGGGGACTGGAGTCAAGGGCTTCTCATCCTTTCGCTTAGTGGTGAGATCAAAGGGGGACTCAGAGCTGCCCTTCTGCAGTTTCTTTACTTCACCTGGTGATTGGGGTTCCATTTTCAAAGGTAACGATCTCAAGTCTCTATCAGGAAATGGGTACATTGATTGAGAGAATGCTGGAAAAAATGGGAGGGGAAACATGGAAGGGTAAGGTAAAGCTCCAACTTTTTTGTCTTGCAGCCCCACCAGTCCTGTTGAACCAAAGTATTTTTCAGCAATAGAAGCAATAGCCTTTATAGAATCATTCACAGCTCCTGACACCGCAGTCTGCTCCTCTAAAGATGGTGAGAAAATGGAATGATTGCTGTATTCTTTCTTATTATTTATTGAAGCCAGATTCTGAAGAGGGCTTACTTTGTCTTTGAACATTTTACCATTTTCTTTAAATTTCTCTTTATCACTTTCAATGTCACTTTCCAGATCAGAGCCCGAGGTTGTTTCCAGGTCACTGCCACTTGGTGTACTGACATCATCAAGGTCACTACTCTCTGACTGGTCACTGATTTTCTCAAAGGGCCTCTCTTCAGAGGACCTCTCGGGCTGGAGCTCCACTGGCTTATTGTCCCCTACAGATGGGTGTTTAGATAGTGCCTTCAAAATATCCTGTGTAGCTGGCAGTATCTGAGGATGTGTCATGAGGGGACTTTGACTTTTGTTTGTCTGTTCAGTACTTGATAGTCCTTTAACAGGAGAACTAGCAGGTATCAAAGGAGGCCTGTGGTACAAGCCGGAAGGAAACAGACCAGGGAAGCTAAAAGAAAATCCAGGAGCTGTTGGAAAGGTAAGACCAGCAGGATGCCTATTGGCGCCAAAATAGTCAGCAAGGCCCGGGTTGGCATGACTCATATTAACCATGGACGTTTTATCCATAGCTGGGGTTCCAGGAAGTGAAATGCCTTGGCCAAAAAATCCACCTGCCGCAAAATGGTTCTTGCCCTCACAAAACCTCCTGTGTTTATTTAAGGAAGACGTAGTGCTGAACATTTGTCCACAGTCTTTGCACTTGATTTGGGTTCTGCAATCAGCATGCATGCGCTTATGACGGCAAAGGTTTGAAAACTGAGTATAGGATTTATGGCAGACCTCACCTGTGTGCAAACAACAAAAAAGAATCTCAGGCTTTATGTCAATTGCTTCTGAATTTAGCAAATATCACAATTGGTTTACTCAAAATTTCAATTAGGAAGCCAGTAAAAGACATTGGAGGCACCAATCTGGGTGCTCCAAACACAGAAAACCCCATTTCACTAGATTCCAAAGCAAGGCAACCAACCTGACAAATGTCTTGAGGCAGCACAAATATTTCATATATATAGATATATATATCTTGTCACCCCCTTGTGCAATATTTTGCATAATATTTGTGTATTTAAATATTTATGAAAAGTTAAATTCCATCATGCATTGATTCTCCACACAATTATTATACTAATATAATGTTGAAAATTAGTCTTAAAATGCATTACGTACAAAACACAACAAGAACCCCTTTCAAATTTTAGAGTACTTAAAAATTCTATTTTGTAGGCACCAAAACAAAATAAAATATCCTCAACCAGAAACTTCACCTTTATTGCCTCTCCCCTTGGGGAAAAAGCCTGTGACTGCCCTGCTATTATTTAATTGGTATTATATCATATGCTCTCATCATTCACACATCAAAGCCACACAACAATGCACATTGTGTATTCTGAGACTTTTTTTAACAATCATTTTCATGATTTGAGAAAGACTGACATAATTTACAATGGCTCTATTTTAAGCCTGCAAAGGAAACTAAATTGAATGTAGCCCATCCTGCATTGCTGGTTCCCATGAACTATGATCACGTCCTCTGACTTCCCCTCACACCAGTGGTTGTGCTAACCTTCCTGCATTTATGAAAACCCCGTCCTTGGGAAACATGTCCACTTGTTGTCATATCTACA
Source organism: Homo sapiens (assembly GCF_000001405.40). Classification (NCBI taxonomy): domain Eukaryota; kingdom Metazoa; phylum Chordata; class Mammalia; order Primates; family Hominidae; genus Homo; species Homo sapiens. Next base: position 169,117,580 of record NC_000003.12, read on the forward strand.
CTGGTTATCTCAGGCTTGACTTCTGTGTGTTATAGCCAACTATGCTCAGTAGGGGAGAGCACTGTGAAAGCTCTAATCCAGAAAGAAGGGCACAGCATTGGATGCAGCTGTGAAATATGCCTCTTTGCTAAGAATTTGTCAATAAAGTAGAATCTTCCTCCTCACACATGTGCCACTATAGCCAAGTATATTTTAAGACCAAACTTTGTAACCCTTAATAACTCCTTTACCAGGTAAGAATCACTCACTTCACTGTCCAGCAGTATTACAGTATCAGTACCCTGAGCATCACATTTTTTATTTTACTTTACGGGATTGAGCCACGTTATGTGTGAGCTTATTTTAACACTTCTGTGCATGTTCAATACATGCAGAAACAAGATGTACCTTGTTGGTAATTGTTGAAGCAAATTTATTTTAAGAAATTAAATTGAAGACAAAATGCAACAGTTATTGCTTTCATATGATGGCTGCCTTTAAGTGCAGAATGATTGTGCTTCTAAGTCAAAGCAATAATAATTAAAAAAAAAAACTCATGTCAAGGAGATTTTATAGACTTTCAGTCAAGCAAAACTCACCCAGAGCTTGGATTATCCCACATACATCCAAACAGGAAGTACCAAGTAAGGGTATATCTCTTTCTTTTACTACTAAAGGTTAAAGTGTATTGTTGCATATATCAAAGTGTTTGGTAATATTAAAGGTGCCTTCAATTGTGGGATGAATCACAACGTTACAGAGGCTGTAACATGCATTTTAATGGGAATAGAAGATGTGGGTGATATCTTTTCAAATTATTTTACCAGAATATATCGACCAGAGTCAGCTTTAAAAGTATATACAATTTAACCATACACCATAAATATACATCTAATTTAAACTGTTTGATACACTAATTAAAATCAAATAATGGAGAAGGTAGAAACATCAGATGTTTACTAGATATATTAGAATAATTTATAGCTACAAGCAATAACAATATTTTATTATTGGAATTATAAAAAGTAAGAAAGCAACACCTCTTAAAAGGCATTGAAAAAATGTCTTGATGAGTATTCAACCAAGACATAAGTTTTTCAAAGACTTGTCATTTTTTGGCAAGGAAATGTTGCTCTCTACACTTCTTTCTTACAATCAGATGGCTTAAAAAAAAAAAATCAAGAGCTTCTCTCTATTGGAGTAACAGAAGTTCAGCTGACTTTTCTGGTGGCACCCGTTGTTACATGGCTGAGTGCTGTCTGTGTCTGGGCTCAAGAACATCGAATCTGGGATGTTTTCTTAGGCAGAGGCTTTGTTTTCGGCACTTGAAGGCCTGGCCTGGCATACCACAAACTACCAGGCCTCCAGGTAAACTGGTTCAATTGATGTTGAAGTTTATACTCTACTGTAATTTTCTCAGTAATAAGGAATTAGCCAGCAGTTAACATTGCATTTTTCTACTTATTAAACAAATTAAGAGGCATTTTGAATATATTCAGCCTATTAGAGCATGTGGTTTCTATTTGGGAAAGCTGTAGGTTTCTGTAAAGGCAGTGAGTAATTACCTTAGCACTGGTGACTTTGGGCTCAAGCGTGGCAGCACACTGTAATAAGAGACAGTTGCCATAAACACACCAGTGGGGGTAAATCGTGGTGTGTGGCCTTCTGGTGAGAAACAGATATCAGCCCTAGGTGAACCTCCTCCACTCAAGTCTCCACACCATTTCCTGATCTTTAATCTCTTTTGTTCTGAAATTACATGGCTATTATTCATAATTACTCCATGGTTCTCTGGCAGATTTTAAATTTGAAGAATGCCATCTGCTATTTAAATTTACCAATAATTACTGAAAATACATTCAAGGGAAATACTTTATGCAATCTGATTGGAAAGGGACACCCTATGGCACTTTAAAGTGAAACACTTGTCTTCAACACAATTAAAATTCCAGATCCCAGAATCTTCGATAGCAGAAGTCTATATTTTCTGACTTTTATTTTAAATAATAGAGAAAGCATTAAATGAGTGATCAGAATTCCTTGTGGTTTATTCTAGTTTTTTCTCACATCAAAACATAATAAAACTTACCAAAATTTATTTCTGAGGAATCAGAAATAAATGAACTATTTAATATCGTATGCCTGTAGTACTTCCAAGTACATTTTCAGGGCATTAAGACTTAAGAGTCAGGAATGCCTTTTTGCGACAAGAAGTCTAAAATTTCTATTGAATGCTTTATTTCCCGTGACCTTCAATAGAGCTTCCCCAAGGGAGATGAGAGCACCCTTTTTTAATCTGCTAGTCCTCTTCACCCGGGGAACAGAAGAGCATATGAGCAAAACAGGACTCTAGTGTAAGCTGGAAAAGGAAAGAAAAGCTATTTTGGTGCTTGGACACACAAAAGAAAGCTGTGTCGAGGCAAAGGAGAGTTAGTCTCTGGCATCTCCATGTTGGCACTGAAAAATAGTTTTTTCCATCAGGTCCTGTAGTAGTGTCTCATATACCTACTACAAACCAAAGTCAGAGGTCTTGCCAAGTGCTGAGTATGCTTCAACCAATTCTATGTGTATCTGGGTCCAAAATCAGTCTTGACGTTTGTAGCACAACTCAATAAGTCATTGTATTTATATGCCCCGCCAAGCAATGGATTAAAAGAAGCCCAGATTTTTTGCCCAGGTAGACTAAGAACAACTGATTTTACTTATAAAATGTTTGAGCACAATACAGAGAATAGGAGTGGGCGGAGAGAAGAAAAAGCAAATGAGAGCTGAGTTTTATTGTATTTGAAGGATGTTACTACAGTGCTCTGTACAGGGATGTTCTAAGTAGGTGGTCAGATCAGATGTCCCCTAAAAGCACACTGCCTATAAACTTGCTTTGGTGCAGTGGGTAAGAGAAACAGCATGTCCAGCATCTAAGTGAAAATGTTCTGCTTTTCTTCAAGTAACAGAGAACTACAGATCCGACAGCCTGTGATCGGCAACAATGGGTAGATTAAAAAGCATTTCATCCCCCTCGCTCTCTCCACACACATATACTCACATACATGCACACAGAGCCGTAAGCCTACTTCCCAGGTGGGCTTCTTCCAGCTCTTTCTGATCCAGAACAGGTTTTTAATCACTTCATCTTGTTTAGTGATGGCTGCTATTTGCTGCTTTACAAAGCCATGAACATTTACAATATGAGACAAATCTGATTGTCCTGATTAAATCCTACAACCTGTGGAGGTTTCCCTTTGATTATCTAATGAATTTTCTTTTCTCTACCTGTTATTGATTTCTTCTGAAAGAAAACACCCCAGGAATCAAGGACAAAATACCATGGATCTGATTATAAAAGATTTACTTGTAATCATAAATAGCCCTACTGGATTGGACCATAAATAGCTAACACGGTGACCCTCTAAAGGCCATGTGCAGCCACTCTCCTGGTCACAGTGCCTTTTGGGGAAGAGACAGATGTGGGAAGGAGGGCTGGAGTGTTGAAAACTTACAGATAAAGGGCTTCACACTGCTGTGGATGTGCTTGTGTTGTTTGAGGCCCGACGAAGTGGCAAACGTTTTGCCACACTCCGGGCATGCATGGGCCCGGGCACCGACATGCTGAGAGCGAATGTGCCGCTGAAGGTTGCTAGGGTCCGTGAAAACCTGCTAGGAAATGAGTACTGATTAATCAAGAAACTTAACTCAAGGGCACAATAAAGAAGACCCGGGATGACTCAAGAAGAAATTTTTCTTATTTGTTTTGTTTTTCTTTTCCCCAAAGACCAAAAGTGTACTCTCCTCTAATTTCCAAAATGTACTCTCCTCTAGGGTAGGAACTGTAAATTATTCTGCTCTATATCCTTAGCATGGTGTATCCACTGGTATCAGTTGAACCAAATAATGAATGGCACTATTAGGCCATATTCAAGGCCTTTTTGATACCATTTAGAGTGACTTGAGTTGAATAATAAAATGCTGGTTAAGCCATTATTAAAACTGGTGTGCTATTTTCACCCTTTAAATAAAGACACATTGTGTACAAAAATTTGGAGGATTTTGACTAACTACATTAAATCTATTTAAAGAGTTTCCCTAGGGCGTAAAATTCTAACACTCTTTCAGTGAGTTACTAGCAAGCTAAAACCATTCCTTTAGACATTGTACTAAAAACAAAAATAAAAAAGCCACCCAACACATCTGAGAGCAAAACATCCCTAAAGAAATTTCAAATGTATTTTTTAATTTTTATGAGAAAAAAACATACAAAATTTTAATGTGCATAGAACAAGGTAATCACAGGAGAATGACTACCCAGTAACCTGGTGGGGTACAGAAATTTCCATTGGCATGAAAAAAAAAAAGCTATTAAAATGCTAGGAAATGTGTTTTGGAAATAGAAAGCAACTTTAATGACACCAGGACATCTTTGAGTTAATCAAGAAACATGAAATTAAAAGAAGTGAATTACTTTTACCATAGTTCACAGTTATGGTCTAAGTTGAGTACTTCCATATCATCCCTATGTTGTTCAGCACTGACAGAGGCTCTATACATTTTAATTAGAACCAAGTCATAATTTATGGTGAGCCCTTGGTTGGAAAAATCTGCAAATATAAGAGTCACCCATTCTTTCTGAATAGGCATTCAGAAATTTTATGTGACTTCCTCACAAATTGCTATTAAAAGAAATCAGTAACATGAATTGGATAAAATTTTCATTCTCCGCAAGGCCATAAAACAACTCCACACTGGCAAATCAGTAGCGGAACCAGGAATTTACCAAGGATGTCTGACACCTAGTTCTGGAACTCACCATTAAGCCTCACTTCCTCCCTTACAAAAATAAAAGGATACCCACTAAGTGTTTTTATACACTCTACTAATGCCTTTTAGCATACAACACTCAGTGTACTTTTCTCAAGATATTTATAGTTTCCCCTCTGAAGGCTTGTTTTTATATATCGTAGCAAGTGATGGATTAAGAGAGAGCAGGATGACATAGAGAGGCCAAGTAGCCTACAAATTCACTGTACCTTGGCACAGTTTTCACATTCATAGTGCTTTCCACTGTCATGTGACATCTGGTGGCGAATTAAATTGGACTTCCAGTTAAATGCCTTGGGACACTGATCACACTTGTATTCCCTCTCTTCAGTATGTGACAGCATGTGTTTCTCCAGGCTGTTAAGAGAACAATAGATTTTAAAAGACAAAGGATGCATTCATAAACGGAACAACATTTTATTGTTAATCCAACTGGTAATTAAAGAAACAAGAAGGAAAAGGAGTTGAACTGAGAAGGAGGGAAGAGCAGAAACAGGCTTGTGACAGACAAAAGTGCATTTTATATTTCCTGGACTGTGTCTCCTGGACTGTGTCACCAATATGAAGATGTGTTCTTGTTGTTAGAAAATAAATCTGATACAGCTGGCAGGGATTATCTGCCAATTTAAAAGCATGATAAACAACAAGCTATTTGTCCAGTTTTGGATTCACTACACAATTCTAACAACAACACGTATTGCTAATACTCACTTAATTGAAACACAATTAAGTGAGTATTAAGCTCACAATTAAGTGAGTAGTCAATTAAGTGAGTATTAAGCTCACTTGTGAGCTTAATACTCACTTAACTGAAACACAAACACTCAAACAGAAAATGCTTAAAAGTATTCTGTCTAATGTATATAATCTCTAGTGAATCTAGGATGGACAGATGGATGGATGGATGGACTGATGCATGGATATATGCATGGATGTGTGTGTGTGTGTGTGTGTGTATCATATATATATATTACATAATATATAAAACCTAAGAATTGGGGAGCAAAAAAGTGTGTAATATTTTAAGTGGATGCAACATTTAAGTCCCCTAAAAGAAAAACATGATTAGAAGTTTCTCACAAGCATAGTTTCTCTGTTTTAAAGTTTAAATTGTTTTATCTTCTCAAATGTTTGCCCCCATTTTCTAAAATTTGTATATGAAATCTGCATGAATATAATGAAAAGCAAATATTATAGATAATGGATTATGTGATAGAAGATGTCTGCAACACCTTTATTGATTAAATACATAACACACTGGGATACTACCCCCAAATAAAGTAACCAGAGCTCCGTGGTAAAATAGCTTATTTCAAATCTGAACTATGAAATTCACAAGATGGCCCTTGAACATCTTGTTATGACAAAAGGCAAGCAATTTATAGATAATATCCAAAAAATTAGGGTTCCAACTTGAAGAGATGCCCACTGACCAAAGGTGGGGCAAGTGAAGCATCAATAAGAACAGCAACTCTTTTATCAATAAAGATATTCAAAACACAAACAGAACCCCAATGGTCTCCCAAGGAAGATGCAGGAAAGCCAAATCATTATTCCTAAAACTGGTAAATAAAGGGAAAATATTTGTGCACATATCTGCTTTTCCTATGTAAACTGCACTTTGGGGTAAACAAATAGGCTATGAAGGGAAGGTTCTCTACGCGAAATTAATCCAGGTAATAAATGATGAAACAATGATAGAGTTAGAGTACATTCGTTTTGAAGCTCCTAAAGAATTAATGAATCTAGGCAATCCATTATGTGACTTCGGGTAGAAATAAATGGCACCATCAATGAAATCTTCTTGGTGAAACACTGAGCGTAAATCCCAGCAAAGGCTTGGGATGTAACTACAAGTCTATAGGAAATTAGAGGGGATAGAGAAAGATGTTAACACCACAATGATATAAACAGCAGAATCCAACTCAGTTTCTTCTATAATTTTCTATAAATAAATTGTAATAAGAGAAAGAAGGTGGTGGAGAGAGAGACAGACAGAGACAGAAAGAGACAGAGAGAGACACAGAGAGAAAGAGACTGCCCTCTGGGGGAGCCTTTAGATTCAAATAGTCATAACAGACTTGTCAATCAATTGCTATATGTGGACTTTATTTTGATCTTTATTCAAACAAAACAGTAAACTTTATAACTGAGGAAATTTGTGCTCTTACTGAATATTTGATAATATTAAGAAATTATTTTTAATGTGGTATTGAACTTATGTTTTTAAGGAGTCCTTACTTTCTATAGACACATACTGAACTATTTTTGAATAAGATGATATACTGTCCAGAATTTGTTTCAAATAATTCAAAGCAGGTATAATGACAAGATTGGCTTCATGTGATAATTATTAAAGCTGAACATATGGGATTTTAAAAATCCTATCCGCTCTCTAGTTTTGTGTATATTTGAAGCGCTCCACAATAAAAAACTTATTTAGAAAAGAAAAAGTACCAACCATGAAAGCATTCTTTTATTTTCTTTTATTTCTTTGTGTGATGAATGCTATAAATATCAGTACCAATTAAGACCTTTGTGCACCTAGAATAAATTATCCAGTGGTCATACAGACTGTGTGACTGGGAGTATATGTAAGAAAATGAAGTGCCCATTCTCATATCTTGATAAATTAGAAATGCATTTCCTAATTTTCTCTTTCTCAGCTTCCTCCCCACAACTCTATTCGTACTGGCACAAGAACTCATTTTTCCTGCCCCATGAATCAATTGAGTTGGAAATGCTATTCTGAGCACAGGTGGTGATACCTCTGTGAACAAAAGGTACTAGGAGAGTACAGGTGTGTGGAGTCATAAGAAAGGCCCTAACTTTATCTACGATATGTAATCCTCTGTTTGTTACAGAGTGGAATGTTAATAAAAGAGTTAAGACAGAGATACCAACAACTGTCGTTAACATTGAAATGAGTCAGGGACATCCTCCAAAATCACTGTACAGATTGCAATTCTCACTGTCCGTCCCTAGCAACCCATACAGGCAAGCCATTTTATGATATATATTCTACTATGCTATATATCAAATCATAAACCCTGAAATCTAGTGGCAAAAGCTTGGCCTATATGTTGAGTTTTATTCCTCCCCCTAATTCCAAGGATATGGTTTAATTTTAAGAGTATATTATGAACATGTAGGTGTAAAAAGATAACAAAGCAAAAGGAATTTTCCCTTCTTTGTTTCTAATCGGGCAGAAACTCCATATTGTTCCATAGTATTATTAGCTTCCAGCTAATCAGTAATAAAAAGCACAAAAAAGCAAGTCATTTTCACAAAAGTAAATGTGCATTGCTTTCATAAACATAGAAGCAATGCAGTCAGTCAGTGAGACTTCTCTGCTTTTCGTGGAATTTTATCTCAATCTATAGAGCCTTGATCAGACTTTTGAGTTCTTTTCAGTTCTTTTCACCTTTTGCACATTGACCTTTGTTTCTTTCTTGCTCCTATTTTTTTGTTTGCATTCTTTTCTCAAGATTTTACATAAAGGATAGACAGCAGAAGAACAGATCAAATCCAGAAAGTAATTTTTGTCATTTAAAGCATAAAGTGACAACATAGCATTCAATAAAGGAAAAAATATTCAGAAAATAAAGGTTCTGAATGTGGCTAGATCATATAATTTATAACCAAAAATACCAGTTGGAGGATTAGCATTCAATTGCATAGTGACATGCTTTATCCATATGGCTGGACTACCAAAATATAAATGTTGAGAATTCATGCAATGACAGATAATTAGATTTCCTTATTGTTTTCTACTAAATGTTTGACTGAATCAACTAAACTAACAGTTGGTTTCAGCATTAGATAGAGTTGACTCAGGCTTAATCTTACAGCTAGGCAGATTAAGAGGCTTTCTCCACCCAAGAAGTATTGCTGTACACTCTTAGTAGAAAGTAAGAATTACATTTTAGTGTTTAGTTGGTCAATTTTTGCTTTATAATGCCGTTCATTATTTTTTATAACACAACTGAAGGAAATGGACTTTATTTCTGACACCAGAGATATTACTTTACAGTTTAAATATTTTTTCCTACTCATTTGTATTTGTTAGCTTCATTTTTTTTAAATTTGGGCACAATTATATTAAAGGGACATGCTGTGGCTTTTTTATTACAAATCCACACTTTACTAAACATACATAATTGATTTATTCTCTATGAAGATTTATATGAAGTGGCAGAGGTGAGTTTAAAAAGTTCTGGGAAAGCCCTCTTGTTCGGTAAAATGTTTACTCTCTAATAGCTAAATTAGTCCTAAATTTTCAAAGCTAGATACTTATCCTTTCTATTCAGTCTTCTCAACAGAAAGGATTATGCTTAATGCCTTTTAGTCATTTATGCCTTAAAATGAACTACTAGATGAAATCCTTTCCTAAAAGAGGCGTAACCAGGAGAAGAGGATATAGGGCTAAACATGAGGTGAAAATGAGAGGAAGAAAAGGATCCAGGAAAGAAGGAAAGGAAACAAAAGGGTAAACTGAAGTTGGACTGTCAAAGACAAAATCTGAGTAATTCCCATTCTTGAGTAAGGCCATTTGATATACTACCATTCCCATTTAAATATAATGTGATGTTCATTTAAAATTCTGATTACAAGTTTCAAGGATAATTTCCAGATTTAAAAGCAAAATAGTGAATACAATTATTAAAATTATTTGTGGACCAAGGCAAAAATCATTAGGTAGAAACAAACAAAAAAACCCATTAACTGTTCTAAACTGTTCTAATCTTAAAGACCATTCTGTAGTACAATTAGTATATACTTTTCAAAAAGTAGGTTCTAGTGTTGTTATCAGCAATTTTAAAAAGTTATAGAATAAAATTCAAAAGGCTATAAAAAGTTAATATGTCACTGAAATATAATTTTTATTGTGTTAAAAATAAGTGTTAAAGAATTACTTCATTTACGTTATTGTGTTTCTCTTTTTCCTTTTAGGAAATTCAACACTTTGGGAAATCAAACATGCTTCTCTTATTCTTTTATATATATGTAATTTAGATCAATTGTTGAAATTAAATCCATGAATTACTGCTCTATCAAAAGATCATTTACCTGTCATTAAGTGAATACCAGATCTAGTCCTTTAAAAAATCATCTGAATGTTCCTAGGGGTAGCTTTATTGTTTCTTGACATATGATTACTTTAATTTGTTCCAGCACTATATTTTCTCTAAATCACAATTTACTATAAAGTTAAGCCTTCAGTTTTTAATAACACTACTTAATAATAATATAACATTATTTTTCATCTGACATCAAAATAACTAATTCCAATTTCACTGTAAATGTTTTACAGATGAGAATATCCAGGCAAATATGATTTCTGAACATGTCACGAGTGCATTTGTCCAGCTCACTGGAGTTCCAAATTTTCCATCTGCACAAAGCCTCAAAATTCAGCATAACATTGCAGAAAAAATACACAAGTTGTATGGTACAACATGCCATTTCTAACCTTTGCAAATCAGGAAAAACTTGGTCACATTCCTTACACTCCTGGATCGTGTGTATCTCTTGGAGATCATTCTCGCTTTCGAGTTTTTGCTGAAAGTCCTCTTCAACCATTGAAAATGCTGAGTGAGGAGTACTGCATGGAAACTTTTGGTGATCTGCTAGTTCAGCCTTAGATTCAAAGAGCTGGTCACAGTCTTCGCAGCGATATTGCCGTTCTTCTGTGAAAACAATTCAGGTGTTAGGATTGGGTGGTCAGGAATTGCCATCACAAACCAGCCAATCTTACCAAATTTTACAAGACATAATAGGTATTATTTGATTGTCATTTCTATCTTGTCAATTTTAATCTGGATTAGAAATATCATATGTAAAGAACCAAGGACAGAGACTGGAACAATAACATAAGCAATGGCTGTGACTAGAGTATATTCCTCCTGATCAGTAAAACTTTTTGACTAAACCTTTTCAGGTCCAGAGAATACTAAAAATAATAAATACGACTTACTGAGCATCATATATTTTCTCAACCCTGTATGTGGATTACTGACATTCCTTAAAACCTGATTATGAGGAATTGTAAGTCAGATTTTTATCCTGGTTTTCAGATGAGAATTTCAGGTTCACAGAAGTCAAATGTAAACAGTCAGGGAGTATAGAGCTATGTGGCTGTATAAGGTTTTGAAACCATTTCTATTCCATACACTTCTTATTATGCCAGTGCCATATTATCTGGAAAGAACATGGGACACAGAGTCCCTATCTGAGCCATGTTTAACCTGGTTAATGTCAGCAAACTTGGAAATAGTTTAACATTCATCATCACTAATAATGGGACACAGGATGTTTTTAGTACCCTTCTAGGCTAATTTATGTTACCCCAGGGTCAGTGCTAATTGTCATAGCTTTGTTAAATAGAAAACATATCATTAATTTGCACTTTAAATCAATAAGATAAATAAATGGTAGTAGTGTGGTATAGAGATAACAAGGTTATAAAATGTCAGGTAGTGATGGCATTGTTTCTATTTTTGTCTTTTGAATAGCTTTCAGCCCACTCATAAAGCCACACTCCGCACAGATCACACAGATACAATCACAGAAGTCTTGAAAACAGCTCACACTGCTAAAAAATACCCACGGCAAACAATATGACACATAATCCCTCTTTTATAGACCTATGGCCAAGGAAGATGTTACTCTTCAATTGTTCATTGACTGAATGTTTTGGGGGGAATACTTTAGTCCAAGAATTCTTTTAGTCAAGTATTCTTTTTCTGAAAAGAGGTTCAGAAAAGGCTCTGTAATGAGTAAGAATCAGCCAGGTGAAGTGGAAGGAGGGGGCACATTTCGGGAAATGGGAAGAGACAGAGGCAAAAAAGAACATGGCACATCCACAGAAAGGTAGAGCTGTAGTAAAGTATGGTAGGTTCACAGAGCACATGTAAGGGAGGAGTGGAAAATGAAGCTGGAGGGGGTGCAGCTCACCAGGGGCTTTATAAGTCTATGCTAAGAAGGAAAACAGCCATTGAAAGTGGGAAAGCAGGGATATATTCAGACTTGGTTTTTAGAAGAATTTTCCCAGTTTCAGTATGAGAAGTCAAGCAGAGAGACCAAGTGAGACACTGCTGCAGAAATCCACATAAGATGCTGGTTTAGTTTATACTAAACCAGTAACAGTGGTAACAGAAATCTTTGGATTTAGAGGGTCGAGAGAGGGAAGTGTTCTAAAAAAATCAACTTGGCTCTAAAGACAGGATTCTCAATGACATTAGCTGGTTAGGAGAAACATTTCCTATAGTCTGTAATACTATTCATTTGTTTAAGATCTATATTTAGGACCTCAGCCAGGAGTCCGAACACAAGCAGAATCTCTAGGCCACATCATGCATGGAAAAAGCCTAGGTATCAGAGACAGCAAAGATTTTGGGTTGAATGCTGACCTCACCACTTACTAGCCATGCATTCTTGGACAATTTACTTAGCCTTAATTAGGTTCAGTTTCCCTATATGTAAAATGGATATAATTTCTTTCCCACAGGTTCTATGCATAAAAGAGTAAATGAGACAATATAGAGAGAGTATATAATATCTATCATATAGTAGGTGTGCAATACATGTGTTTCATTTTCTTTCCTAGGAAGAGTTGAATCCTAGAAGTATAAAATACAAATCATCATTTAAATATTATAAGAATTATATGTAACATATGTAGTGTATGTATGGATGTAAACATGATATGTTGAAAACAAGAAGCAACTGATGGGTTCAAGAGTGTTGTAAAGGAAAGTAATTTATGAATGGCAGCCCTAAAAGAACAGTCACTTCTATTTAAAACTTTTGGAGTATTAACCTAATCATTAATATTAAATAAAAATAATTGTTTGAAAACCTTTTTAGGTCTAACATTTACAGATGAAATATTCATTGCACCAGAGAAAGCCCAGATTGCAGTTCTTCATCATCTAAGAACTCCTTGCTGCCGAAGAGCCCTTTCCCATTGGGCCAGACACCCTCTTCAGGCTCAAACTCTACCAGGCTAATTGGGAACTCTAGGTTTCTAAAGCTATTTGCATGTCAGAGTTGCTAAGAGGAAAATGAGTACCAAAAGCGCCCCCCGCCCCCGCCGCCAGCCCTCCCCCTCCCCCTGCAAATACAACTACTCTTGTATAACCTACAAAGAGGCAGAATGCAGTCCAAAGGAAAAATTGTTCAAGTAAAGAGAACCCGCCAAGAGTGGCAGCTTCCTGGAGATATAAAAGCAAAAGCTGAGATTTTCCCATCTGGGATGCTAAAGAGATGAAGGGTGGTGATCCCTGACTCTGTGATGGGTTGGAATGGGTAATCCTTCCCAATAGACCTTCCAACTACAAAATATTCTAAAGATGCCACTAGATTATGTTGAACCAAATCACAGTATACTTGGACACAGAAAGAGGAAAAAGAAAAATATATATTAAATTTCCATCTCAATGACACAAATCAATATAAGCAAAATTTTCTCTTTATCTGACCTAAACATGTATCACTACTGATTATCATTATTTTTTATTATCTTTTGATTTAGAATAGGCCTCTGGCAAATAAAAAGTCCTCTGCCTCTATAATTTCTTCATCTATACATTTTTCCCAAGGCCTCTTCCCTGACACCCCTCCCATATGGTCATATTGGCTAAGATTTTCCTGCAGTAGAAACACTTTTCCCAGTAATAGAACATTAGATGACAGAAACATCCCCTTGATTTAGGAAAGCTCAAAATCAAGCTCCCTGAAAGATCCGTTACACAGTGAAAGGATTCTCACCATAAACTAATGCATTGACAAAAGGTTTAACTAGGTGAGGTTCTGCGCAAATGCTCAAAATTCCTTTGACCTCCACTTTAAGGAAGACCTCTGCTTACTTCAGCTTCACTGTAATAGTGGCCAGATGTCAAACCAAGAAAATAGCTGCTTCAAGAGAAGGAACTTGTTGAAACTGACATTGAAAAGCCAGGGAAACTAACAAACACCAGGAACAATGGATGCTTTCGATGCTACTTTATAGTCGCGATGATAAGGTGATAAGGAGGGTGGCGTGAGTGGTACTAACCGTGGATATCCGGCGCCATAGTTTCATGGGGATAGTCTTCGCTCTTCATGAACAGCAGAAGCTCCTCTCCCGGCGCAATGTCTGCAACTACTCTATAGAATATCTTTAAAGACAAAATAAAGGTGGATGGAATCAGGAAAGAGAGAGATGTATATATATTAACAAAGGGCAAGATATACACTAAGATACCTGTACAAACACCTTAACAAACATCTTTTTCTTTTTCTTTTTTATCAAAAGAAGTGTGATTTCCTGTTTTATATATTGAAAACCAGCCCTCTGGTGACAAATGGAAAGCTGTGACTCTCAAGCCAGTTCACAAATCTTTTCCAAATCCTACTTCACAAATCAAATTTTCTTAATGCAAGGCTAGCTGCGTCACATATATCCTGTGTAATGTTTAACGAAGAACTTTCCCTTCTCTGAATCCTCAAAGCACCCTAGCAAACCACACGTACTCACAGAGTTGAATCCTGCCTGGAATTCTCCAGCAGTAGCCTAGCTTACCTTGTACCTTCCCCACTTAAGCAAGTTTGCAAAAGTAGCGCCTTCTCAACAACGTGTTTGGAAGGTAATAGGTTGAAAGGACATGACATAAAGGATCATGACAACAAAGGAGAGTATTTTGTTTTTCAAAACTTAACCCCTCTCTCACCAATCAGAAGGGTGCTCCCATACCAGGGTCCTGCCCTCAGGCCCAGCTCCTGATCCTCTCTCTTTGAAAGTAGGCATTATGCATTTTATTGATTCATTTATTGGGGTGGTGGGGGTGGTGCTTATTCCCCTTGCTTTCTAGCAAAGTGCTGAGGAGAGGAAGCATTTAATAAATCTGTTAATGACTGACTCAAAAGCAGTGGAGCAAGTGTGGAAAGAACCCTGACCTGAAATTTCCAAGAGCCACTGCCTTTCTCCTGAGCAGCTTGGTGACTTAGGCAAGTCATTGTCCAACTTACCTGTCCAGGGACCAGGTTTTTTGTTTTTTGGTTTTTGTTCATTTAAAAAAGCTTTTAAGCATGAAAATCTTTAGATGTTTATTCATTCTACCATAAAAATGTCATCAGTTTTTTTTCATTCTAAGGTTATTTATTAAACAATCCCATAATCAGATAGAGGTTTTAGAAGAAAGAATGAAGTTCTACGATTAACTGGTGAAAATGAGACCAATTATATTATACCACAGTATCTTTGCAAAACCCTAGAGTACTCTGAGAAGGAAATTATTCCTTTGCCTCATATATTCTTCTCTCTCTTTAACAGTGCCAATAAGTCTTTTCTCCCAATCTTCCTAAGAATGTCCACAAACAGAATCAATCTCTTTTTTCTTTTCTTTTTTTTTTTTTTTGAGACAGGGTCTCAATCTGTTGCCCAGGCTGGGGTACAGTGGCATGATCACAGCTCACAGCAGCCTCAACCTCCCTGGGCTCTGGTGATCCTACTACCTCAGCCACCTGAGTAGCTGGGACTACAGCATGCAACACCACACCCAGCTAATTTTTGTATTTTTTGGTAGAGATGGGATTTCACTGTGTTACTCTGGCTGGTCTCGAACTCCTGGGCTCAAGCAATCTGCCCATCTAGGCCTCTCAACGTCCTAGGATTACAAGTAAGCCACTGCACCCAGCCCAGAATCAATCTTATTAAGCCAAAAAAGTCCAGATTCTAAATATCTGAGCAAAACACATACACACACACACACACACACACATACACTACCAAAACAATAACACAACAACCACCATCATATTCTAAGAATATATTCTTAGAAGATATTACTGTTAACTATGGTTTTTTGCAAGATCACATGATATTTCAAACTAAGAAAAGCTGCATAAGTTGATGTCTTATAAGATCAGCAGAAATGCTCATACTTTAATTTTATTTATCTATTTATATTTTGGAAAGATGAGAACTTTGTACGTGCCTCTTTATTCCAGTAGGTGGCTCTAAAGTCCAATTGTTTATTTTTCTATAACAAGACCGGAGCACAAAATTGTGCTAAATTTGAAAAATAACTTAATGAGGAGTATTTTCTGCTTAGCTTCTTTCCTGTCAAAATAAAATAATTTTTTTTCATTCAATAGTAGTTGAACCACCTGAAGCTGGTTTATAGAAAACAATGCTAAACATAAAATGTTGCTATAATATGTTATAATATAACCTAAGATTCTTTGTATTTGTCCACAGATAGAATCCAGACTAACTTGGCAAAATTACTCCTCATTATGTGCTGTTTCTATAAAAAAAATAGTTTATTTGCACTTTGTATCCTATTAACCCTAGCTGTTCACATTTTCTTTTCCTTGGAAGTACACTGAGAACAGTTCTTTTTAAAGATTACCAGATTTAAAATAATAATAAAATAATGTGTGAGTTTGCTTTTTTCCCCTAAACTTTCCAGTTAAATACTTATAAGTACACTGTTTCATTCTGGAGTTCTATTTCCCCTTAGAAAACAATGGACTTCTCTCAACAGTTTGAATCACCTCTTTTTTTGGCATCTCTCAAAGGTTTAACTTATTAGCTTCCTTTCCAACAACATGTTGACATTTGAATTGTGACATATTAGAACTTTTCGGTGGCTTCTCGGAAATAGTGAGGTTAAAGAGACAATACCCTACAAGACAGTAAAACAGTGCAATTGTCTCTATTGGGGAATACTACTTAGACACACGTCAGGTCATTTTAAGAGAGTATTATGATATCATTATTTCTTTGTAGTCCACTATTAATCATGTCTCTTTTAATTCCATTTTAGATTTACTCAATCCAATGTGAACAGTCTAAGAAACAAAAGAAATTGATGGATACACTGTAACTATATATTATAAAGACAATTCTCTTTGCCAAGACATAGATCACTACTGTAATTTCCCTTTAAGAGTCCAGATTGTCATGTGAAGAATATTGAGTGCATACAAAATAAAAGACACGGAAGAGTGTTGATGTTGGCTTTATTTACTGGAGGTAAAAGGTGACATTCCAAGCCATGAAAGGCAAAGAAAAGCAAAGTGGATTTTAACTTCAGGGTGTTCTTTTCAATTTTAAGTGAGTTTTTATGGTGCTCATGAAACTGAGGTTTGAAAAGAACTGGCAAGCGCCAGATATAATGAGGGCAGATTCTGGGCATGCTTCCCCATATAGCAATAAGAATGTCCCTCGAAGTTCCATTTGCCATACCCTTACCAAGCTAGTCCTTTTCTCAAGGTGTTTCTACCACCTGATCTTCATTACCTCTCATCCCTTAGGGTTTTGGAGACACTTAAGCAACATTGTTTTCCTCTTCTAATTACAATGGCCCAAAAGTATAATTTGAATCCTTGAATCTAGGGATGTCTACATATAAATTTAATTTACTTTCTAATAACATTAATGGTATGCCAGCAGGCATTTGAGAAGAGACAGGAGTAATTTAAATGAAAACAAAATGAAAATTTGTAGCCCTGAAACAATATAGTGGGGAAATGATGGGATGTCATCTTAGAGGAATCAGGCCTTTCAGAAAATATACTTTTATGTTATAAAATAGATCTTTCAGCAAATAAAAATGCAACAAAGGAGTGATTTATATAGATTTTCTCACATATTTGTATATAATAAGTATGTTTGACCATGCTTATAAAATAGAGTTATAATGTCTTTAAAATCTGTATTCTCAAAATCTTGAGTATATTGCAGTCCAGTGAATTACATACCATCTGTGTTATGTGCCATAAGCAGAGACACTACTAATATAACTCTCTCATTTTTGTGTTGGAGAAAAATGGAAGGGAGTCAATTAATCTGTTAAGTTCCATAAAACAGTTAATAATGGGTCTCTTCTCCTATCAGGGTTTTATGTAAAAAGTTCTCTGGATTCAAAATAAAAATATCCTGGATCTGAAATTTTGTAATGAATATACCCCCAATAAATAAAGAGAGGTTCAAAAATATTCAACACTTAGAAAATTTTGAGTTAATATGAAAAGGTTGTTCATTTGTTATTTTTGCTCTCTCTCTCAGAATGTTCTATGAGAAGAAAAAACTCAATTCTTCCCAATATAAGGTGAAAGACAAGAAGAATGGGGCCTATAAGAAAATAGATTATATGGAAATTCCATTTTTTTAAAAAGTCATAATAAATATTTTAAAACCGTGTTAACTCCTCCAAAACTTTCTATTTGGTAGCTAATACCAAAATCCAGAAGCACAACATGTTATGAACTAACCTAACTCCCATACATCTGAAACTTTTGCCAGTTGAGATGGTTTTTTCATTTTATCACATAAAAAATTAAATTTTCCCAGTATCTTGCTAGACTCTTTTTATTTTTCTATGAAGCAATATTTGTGCCTTTGTAAGTATGAATATTATATTTGGATCTCTGGATACCTCAATTTATAAGGATAAGTTTTTATAGTAAATGTTTTAGTAACAGATTTCTTCATGTTCTTTTATTTTTAAAATTTGTTCAAATAGCACACTAGTGAAATTTCTAAATGTTTATTTAAAATTCTAAATGATTCAAGTAGTTGAAAAGTAAAACTAGAAATCCAAAATTGTTCAGTTTTACCACTGGTAAAACCCACAGCTTAAGGCATAATTATAATATTATACATGTATATAGAAATTAAATGCCCTAAACAGAATTATTATAATTAATTTATTTTAATCAAACCCTGAAAGCAATTCCAAATGCAAAGAGAATATCCATTCAGCTAATACTCACAAGGCTAAGTTAAGTATAAAAGACAGTGGTGATATGAAATTGATTGAGCAAATTTAGACTTCCAAACTGTACATTTTCATGTGGTGTTATTTATAAATATAAATGTGCTTAGATATATTACATATTTTATAATTTGACATAAACATGGCAAAGTATATGTTTTGGAGAAATTTTTAAATTTTCATATTAGTAATCTCATGTATATAATTCTATATAATAAGAATGAATGCTTCATGGCACATGATTAATTCTTATTATATATCATACAAGTTATATGTAATTATATATTATGTTTTATAAAATTTATATTATATATACTTGGAATTAGAATTAATCATATATCATTATTCATTTTATTTGGTTAAGTCCAAGATGACAGCAGTAAAGCAGGCATAGACACTCATAAGCACTTTGATAGGAAAGTTAATATGCCATAAAAGACTTTCAGTCTAACTCTGTTTTATACTTTGAAGGACTGCTTTCAACCAAATCCTCTATCATTAGTTTTTTCAAATGGTAATCAGGTGGGTCTTGTTCATTATACTAGAGAACAAAAATCTGGAATCTGTCAGATTCTTTATCTGTGGATTGATTTGAAGTATTATGTTTGTATTGTTGAGACAGAAAAGTTCTGCACACAAGGGGGAAAATAAGAAAGAAGGAAAACACATTTACTTTTAAAAAGATGAACAAGGCTTTATTGTTATGAATCCCCGTTTATTTTTCCTGATCAAACACTGGAAGTTTTATTTATGCTTAATAGACTGCATTTGGCATGTCTAAAAATGACAGAAGCGTGAATTATGAATGACCTTCAACCTATGCAGGAAGTTGTAATAATTGAAATAATAGAGAAATATACTCCCAGCAAAATCTGTACTGAGAGAAAACCTTTTCTGGCTATTGGTGTCTTTTCACTTTGAAGTTAACAGTTGATTTCTTCCTCTTCCAGCTCCCAACATTTGGCCTAAATGCTTTATTTTCTATACCTTCATTCAATATACTTTCTGAAGACAAGGAAAAGCTGAATGGAACTTCAGCAATTGGAGGGTGGGTAGGAGAGGAGGTAGGTAGCCGTTTGCATGTTTGAACAAAGTCAGCATTTCATATGGACATATCTGTCAGTCTTGGTACTGCAGAGAGGTGGCATCAAGTCTACAGATACAATATATGCATTAGGAAACATAGTCTGGACCCTGATCTATCCATAGTAATGTGGGAAACTCCAATTCAGGAATGATGTAAATTTTAATAGGAGTATCTGCAGGAAGGATCCTATTATACATTCTGAGCCTAATTAATAAGAGGTAAAGAGAAGTGTCTTCAGCAGAGATTGATGACTGAACATAAATTTGTTCAACACTATGGAAGCTTTATCATGGCTAAGCATTGCCAAAGCAAATCACCCTTAGTTTCTCCAAAGAAAAAGTATCCCATATTTGTCTTCAGGGTCACAGTCTAAAGACAAGAAAATATTAATTGAAAAAGATCAAGTACTGCCTTGCTATATCCACTTCCTAAATGAAAAATATGACTCCACGAGACCAAGATATCTTTGGTGTGGAATTTTTTTCTTCTCCACATCTTTATCTCTTTGTCAGTAACATGAAGAGAAAACCAAGTATAACTTATTGAATGAAACAAAACAGAGAGAGAATTGTTAGTTCTAGTTTGCATAAATACGGCAATTGATAAAGATGCACATTATTATACACGAAGCTTACAGTGTACCCAGCCTGAAAGCCTTGCAAGATGTCTCCTTAAATAACCTCTGAGGGTCTATCTACAGACCCCCCAAAAATATCCATTAGCCACCTGTCTTTAATGTGGTCATTTCATCTGACTGTATAAAAACTGATGTTCATTTTGAATGGTTTCCAAACCTTTGGGAAGAGTTCCATCATTACATTACAAAGAAGCTAAAAAGATCATCTTTGGTGTTTTACTTGGCTGGAGGCTTCTCTTGTGTCCTTGACCAAAACATTATCCTCCTTCATGGCTTGTAAAGCATTCTTATGACTTTTATATGCCCTCCCAGAAATAGTTACAGTCTATTGTGTATGTGATGCTTTGTGATCTTCCTGAATGAAAGGCGATATATACATGCAAACACTAACTACTTAAAATGTACACTTAATACTTCAGGTCACCCTCTCTTTCAACTTATGCAGTTTGTGAATCTTAACAAAAATCCTAGCGTTATGTCAGTGTTGCATCCTAGGTATTGTTACATGAAGGAAACTTCACTGGGGCAGGGGATGAGGTGATGTTTGTTTTATGATGTAAAAATCAAATGGCAAACTATGTTTGAAAGAGTTTCATCTTCAGGTGAAGGAAGTAACTTGTCAGCCAGACAACATCCCCCCAAAGTCAGCTTAGGCACTGTTCACAAAGCCAGTCTCTGGGTATTGCCAGCTGGCATTCATCTTAAAACAGCAGAGCATAACTTTGGTATAAAAGTGGAACTTGACTTAAAAGCAAAGCAAAGAAAATGCCCAAAGCCAATAATAACTTTAACATCAAAAGAAGTGGTACAAAATGTGGACAGATACCCTTGTAAAGGAAGAGCAAATTAACAAATTACCTGACAGTAGACACAAACATTTTTAAAAAGTATAAAGAGGGTAACAAATTACATTTTTGCAGTATACATAGCTAATCTACCTTGCTGTTTTGCACAAATTGTACTAATCGAAAGATGCAGGAAAGTGGATTTTTTTTCATAGTAAAATCCAAAGAAAATAATAATTGAGCCCATAATAAGCTCACAATAAAATGCTGTTCTAGTGTCACAGCAGTCTGATATAATCATTCACGTGGACCTAAGGAGAGCGAACGCGGGGTGCCACATCAGCTAGGATCGTCCTGGAAGCAGTTAAAACTTTATAAGGTAAAGCACAAATGAGAACAATGCCTGTTCCAACTGAAAACACTGTAGAGTCTTGTTGCCGTTCATTAACCACAAGGGAGCTGGCAGAATCCTTAAGTGAATTCTGACTTTGTATTCTCTGAGGGGCACTCATTCTTCTGTAACTCATTTCTTCAAAATATACATCAGGCATTAGATAATCTCTTATCGACACATTTCTTTTTATTCAGAGTGAACAGCAGACTTCTCTTTTTCTACTTACTAAATACCAGCTGTCAAGGGCCTACTTAAAAATGAAAGGACTTATCACCTTGTGTAAATGACAAGATTAATAATGTCTTGGGTTTCTGAGAACTTTATTCTACTCATAGACCATGTTAGGGCAGGCCAGGAGTGTGTTCCTTCTTATGGTACAGAATACACACACACTTACATATACAAAACATTATCCCAAAGTACTCGCCCAGATCATTCTAACTATCAGTGGAAAGGCAGATTTCATTTAAGTCTAAAAAGTCAACTTACATAAATTGTATTAATTGTAAGTGGAAAGGCAGGTCTCATTTAAATCTAAAAAGCCAACTTAGGTAAATTGTGTCTTAGTGACTCTCTGATTATTACCAATATGTTTTCACTATGAAGATGTATTAGAGTAAAGCTGTTGTGTCCAGAGAACTACTCCATAAGTACCCAAACTTTGTGAATCTATTCAAACATGAGAACTGGCCTTGTCTGAGGTGGATGGGGGTCTATGGGTAGGTAGCCCTGGTTCTGATCCAGGCGAAGGGTATATGTGGGGTCAAAAGGAGACTTATCAAAGGATGGAGAGAGAGGTGAGAACAGGGTGAGACCGACCAAACCTAAAGCAATGAGTTATGTCCACCAATCAAAATGGTTTGTAAAAGTAAGACAGCTACAAGACTTTAAAGGAAAGAATATCTAAATAACTAGTTTTCTTTAAAAAAAAAAAACAATATATCATGTAGATGTTTGGTTTACTTCACATTAAACACATAGGTGCTTCTGTATGTAAATGAAACCTCTGAATAATGAAAAAAAAACATTTTTATGCTTCCTCTCTATATTGGTCCTCTTGAGGACCTAGTCTGGAAAGAGATTTCCTTAACCAACTCTCTGCTTTTGCTCCTACCCTGCTCTGCCTTTCAGGGCCAATTCTTGCTCCTGAAAGCAACCAAGGATAATTTCAGGTTGTTAGAATGTAAATATTTAAGCATTGTCTGTCTCAGTAAAAATTTCCAGCTAAACACCGTGCCACAGCCATAGACCTATGTAGCATTGTAGAGAAACTTTAAGGGAAAAATAATTAGAATGTTAAGGATAAAGAGACTTGGGTATCTTTAATGGATCTATTATTTTATGACTTGAGTGTGACTGTGACTCAATTGACTAGTGTCTTTGGTATAGCTTCTTTCATAGAGGTAAATTACTGTAGTTAATACATTTTTTCAGGGGTGAATAAAGATATCAGTCAGAAGCCACAGCTACTTAGAAATTATGGTTTAGCAGTGATGTCAATGTTTTCAGAATGTGCATCTCCAAAAACATCACTGCAATAATTTTGGAAGCATGAAATGAAAGAGACGTCTAAAATCACAAAACTTGAGTCTTTCTAGGCAGCACTGACAAGAAAGAAAGCTGCCACAAAGCTCATTCTGTCTGAAAAAAAAAAAATCTGAAATGAAATAACTCACAGAAATCTACTGGAAAATTTAAACTACTCAGGAAAATTTCCTTAAATAAAATGCTGGTAGAAAGGTATGGGGAAAGTGGTAACTGGGTTGCTTTCATTTTTATTTTTTCTGATACAAAATAGATTACATCTTTTATCAACTTTACTTAAAAACCAAAATCCATGCTGTTTCTAGAACTTCTTCACCCACAAAGAAATCAAATACAGGTTATCCAGCATACAACATTTTGACTGTCCTTCTACTATCAAACTGTATTATAATCTTAGCAAGCACATTTATTTTCTTTAATATGGCTCCTCCATATCATTAAAAACTGATCTGAATTGATTAAACTTGATCTTTTAACATTAGAATTTTTAAAAATATGTATCTTTGAAAAAGTAAAGTTCAATTTATACACTCTTGTTTTGTCCTGGGTAATCTTTTTATTTCTTTGTTAGATGACCTAATTATTACCATGACTAACTTGCAATTGAAAACTTCATCTCAAATTCCGTTTTTTTAGAGTCCAGGATTTATACCTGTCTTGCTCTAAAATTCACTTGATAAACTTTATCCGTATCTAAAAATCAGAGCAAAGAGAAACACTTTTTATAATTTCTTGTAGAGCGTTCCATTTGCTTTTGTGTTAGACAGGTGAGTTGATGTCATTAATGCTTAATAATTACTCCTATACCAGGGTCTCTCTCTATAGCTAAATATTAAATAATACCTCCCACAATGGGAGTGTTCATTATGTGATGAGTTGTGCTTATTCACCATTTGGCAGCTCCTATTCCTCATGGAAAAGAGAGCAAAAAACAGACCTAGAGAATCTCTTTAGTCAGCTCTTTTATCATTGTACCTAGTCCAACATTCACATTTCAAAGCTGTCTAGAATTGCTAGTTTTAATTGGATTTTAGAATATTCATATGTGCTTATAGGTGAATATGCTTATAATATATGCATACACTATTTGGGTGTCTCTTCCCTTTTGTCTTGTCAATTGGGCTAAGAGTGATTGTATACATCTACACGTATCATACAAATCTGACTTTTACCTCTGACTTTCCTCCCTTGTTGTTTATGGATGAATTTACTTGAATTTCACAATTACATTATTTGATATGCATTCTGTTAGCATCTTAGATTTCTGTCAGCATAAGAGTTAAAAATTACCACTTAAGAAAAATGTGTGTCTAATATTGTCCTTGTCTGTTTTCCCAGATTAAGTATTTTCTCTGATTCTTTAGTCAAAATAAGTAAACACGCTATTCATTAAGTCATAAAACTGGCATATTTTCTTTTGAAAACAATGGATTTTACAATGTATATTTCAAAAGCAACTATGGTAAAATTATAAATGCCTACTCTAATGAGTAGCCTAATTCATAGTGAGAAACAGGAAAACAGTTTCCCTTTGCAATCAAGATTCCCAATACGAGTACATTTATTATAAAACACTACACACATAAATATTAAATGAAAAAATGGCTGCAAATAGACTTAGATTGGCTACAAGTCCCGTTCTTAAATCATCTTTTCACGGATTCTACAACAGTTTTATCTGTCTAAGGAAATAGCTTCCATTGTCAATAAATATGAACAGCAAACAATTATTATGATATGATTATATTATTTCATCTTAAAGCTATCATTTGAGGTCCTCCAGTTCCTTTTGTAAGGAGTATAACATTAATTCACTCACAATACCTATGTATTTCTCACATCTACAGATAGTAGGTACTCAAAAAATATCTGTTGTTGATGGCGACAGTAACTCATATGATAGACGGAATATTTTCTGTTCACAATCAATAGCTAATTTAATAATGTTTTCCCTTGTCAATAATTCCTCTTGTTTTCTTATAGCAAGGAGAAAAAACAATTGATTGGTTTATTATTTTTGATATATGTTGAAGATTTTTAAATGATTTCCATTTAAACCTAATTTTACAATTTACTACCTCTTACACCGTTTAGTCAGTAAAAATTATCTGGTAGCTGGTACGATGCCAAAGAATAATCTCATAATAATGAATGAAATAGAGTCTTAGACCAATTGACAGTAGCTTTATTTAAGTTTTCAATTGGAAACATTTAATTTAAACTATTCTTCTTCTTGATGGTGATTTCATAGTAGATTTGCCAAGCAACCACTTCAATATGGTCTTTGAAACATATTTGATTTAGGAAACCATTGGGTTAAGAGAAATAAATGATTATAACATAATTAAATTCTAGCTCAACAATGTTTATAAAACAAAAATTAATGGGCTGAATTTCTTGTTATTTTAGGTATTGTCATATGATATTACAAGATTCATAACCTAATTTTATTAAGTGTAAAATATGTTTCACGATATTTTCATGATCTTTATTTCACAGTTATTGTTATTAAAGTCAACCTCACTGCATGGTCCTCCATAATGTCACAAAGCAGTTTCCAGCAGGGTTATTTTTAAACTTTTTAACATATACCAAAAAAAGTATTTTAATTAATCTAAAAGTAAGTGTTCTCATTTATAATTAGGCAAATCAATATAAAATGCATAATTAGATAAGATAACACTGATACTATGCATATACATTTCAAATAAAACCTATATAACATTTCAAGTATATCACTTCCAATTTCTGCATAAATTCACAAGATGTTCTTGATTAGCTCAATACCTTTTATGAATGTACCTACTATGATAGCAAAGAAAAACTGAACGGTAGGCAGTAATAATACTCAGTTTTTAAATCAGTCACACCAAGAAAACTGGTGCATTTATGAAGGATACTAGTACAAACTGAATAGACTACCCAAAGAATGTAAAGAAAGTAGTACTAAATATGAATTTGTTCTGCATTTTACTTATATTTGTGCATTATCTTTCACAATATCAACAAACAGGCCACAAGGGTCTACTGCAGCTTACTGTTATTTTTATTCTTCAGGCTCCAGTGATACTTTTGTGCTCTCAAGGAAAGACAAGAAAATCTTTACAACATACCTGATCATTTATCTGGCATGCAACAAGGTTGTGCTGATCATAACAGCCAGCGAATCTAATGTACTTGAGCCAGCTTCCAACATCTGGTTGACTGGCATCTATGCAGAACTTCACATTGTAAAATTCGTCTAAGATCTGGAGGGAAGAAGATGAGAACAATCAATTGCCATATTGGCCCACTCATTAAAATAATCAGTTGTTTGAAAATATTTCATTGAAATGTATATTCCTTCTTTGGATCCTTAAAAAAAGTCAGATCACAAGCACATTAATAGAGGGGAAATGAGAAGTTACCTTGAAAATGACAACATACTGCTTTTTTAAAAAGGAATAAAGCACTTGCAATTTGTTACAAAAACTGATTAATTGGTTTCAAAAATGCTTATTTTCATATGCATAAATTAGTGCTAATTTTATCCAATGTGATTTTTGCAAAAAATAATATTGAACAGCGTATATTAACATAATATTTCTAAACATTACAGTCAATATTTCATATTCGTATAGTCTCATGTAAGCATATATTTTCACATTTTTGCACTTTAATTTAAAAACTTCCATCTAAATTTTTTTTTCATGGTTAGCATCTCATTACCATGAAACAATTAAATCACACTCTTAATTGAAGGAGATAATAAGATTTGTCTTATAGGTGCTTCCAAACAAACTAAAGAAAAACAAATTAAAATAATGAATTCGGAAACACTCATGCAAAGTATGGCAAACTCAGGTTTTAGTTAACACATGTCAACGCATGTTTCAATATTTTGTCTAGTAAGCAAAATAAAGCTGGCTCCTTGTGAACAAATAAAAAATATATTAAAATACTGTAATGAACTGCCATCATTAGGTATACTTGTATCTTGTTATTTTTCATGAAATTTTACATTTGGCCCATCTAAATGTTAATCATTAGTTAGGACACACTAAACAAAAATTGAAGAGGGAAACTTCCATTTTTAAGATCATGTGTACTTAAACCAAGCTATTCTGATTCACTAACAGCAATAATGTCTTAAACATCAATATTAAAAGCTGTAGAGTTGTTGACCTGATGGTGAATAACTACAAAGGATGGTAATGTTATGTCAATCAGTTAATACAAACGAGGAAGTTTCCTATCAAAGACTAAGCAATATACCTAGAACAAAAATTATTGAATTAAATAACTCCTACAGATCTCTGCTGTATGCATAACCACATAAAAGTTAAAATTAAACTCTTGAGTACTGAGACCAAAAGCAATTTTGCATAGAATTCAGGCAATCACCCAATTGCAGATTCAAGTCATTAACTCACCATATACTTCAAGAAAAACCCAGTGCTCCAAGGGCTTTAGTCAAGAAGCCCTATGAATAAGCCTTTGGCCATGAGGAAATTGAAGGGCAATAAGTCGTCCCAAAATTTAAAAAAGAAAAATCGAACATAAGATAGGGATATTATTAAACACACACACACACACACACACACACACACACACACACACACACACAGAGAGAAATCAAACTCTTCTTTTTCAAGGATGCCTCTTCACACTAACAACGACAGAAGTGTACACTTAAACATCCTTTCTATTAAGAGGACAAATTCTAAAAATTTGTTATCAATAAAATTACAAACTTTAAGATGTTTCTTCAACTCTCAGTGCTGAGTAACTCAAATGGCAACTTGAGATTTCCCCCCATCCCAGATGTTGAGAAGGTACATAAATAATAGCAATGCACATTTTTAAATAGTAAAAAGTTGGAGTTTGTTGCTGGGTTTTGTTGGTTTGTTCAGTCTGTTTGGTTTCTGGTTGATCTTTTGTTGTTTGTTTCCTTGACTGGCAAAAAAAAGAAAAAAAAGAAAAAAAGAAAAAGAAAAGGCAGTTCTCCTGACACACCAAAGAAATATTTAATAAAGGACATAGAATAAAGCCAGTGAAATGCAATACTAATTCCATTTCATATTTGCAGAGAGACGTGGAAAACTTGTTAATTTCAAAGTCAAGAAGCATCCATCCCCTTAGCTTTCAAGCATACCCTTTCACAGGGGCAGGGAGTTAAGTATTACATACACTGCACATAAAAATTGTAGGTGTAATTTTATTCCGTGTTAACATTATTAGCATTGCCACTGTCAACAGCAAAATTAATTTTTAAAAAGGTTCATTTCCAAAGAATGTCTTTTTACTAATCTGTTATACGATTATTCAAAGATTTCACCATCATATTAACATTCTTCCTCTCAATATTCTTGCCCCAAGACAAAAGCTTAGCTTTCTCCAGAAACGTTTGCCCCCTGGGTGAATTATTCACTTTTGATTTGCTAGCAGAACTGCATTTGTCTCCCAAATGTCTTAATCGTGTCGGAAATCTCGAATAAAATAAAGTAACGACACATCTTCAGTCATTTCATATAACACACTCCTGTGTTTTTAAAAGCTGTCAACCTCCAAAGATAGCTTAAAAAAAAACCGTTTAGGTAGACTTTAGAGAAAGGCCCTTTCAAAAAACCAACAGCAAAAGGAAAAAAAAAAAAATCCCCACAATCTAGCCAAAGGGTCCGAATGTGACTTTCTCGCGAAGCAGCACACGATGTTGGACAGCAAAGCTGTTACTTGGCAAGGTGGAACTCGGCCGAGAGCGGCTCCAAAGTCGCGTGGCCAGTGCCAGGAATTCAGATTTTGGCAACCGCACCTTGTGCGTCCCCGAAACCGACGGACAGAGACACACGGAGGGAGGGGAAGGAGGAGAAGAGCGCAAGGAAAAGAGGCCGACAAGCCGGCAGAGAAACCCACCGAAGGCCGGACGACCCACCCCGGAGACGTGTCCAGACCGCACCGTTTCGCAGGAGGAACAAGGAAATCGCCCGGCTTAGCAACGTAGATAAGCAGCAGGGCTCCGCGAGACTGCGGGCGAGGAGGAAAGAAGGCTGGGGGCGGGGGGCGCCCGTAGAAACGGTGCCCCGGCAGGAAACTGTCCGAAGTGACAAACTTTCACATCGCCCAGACTTTTTTTCCTTTTAAAGTGAGGAGTTCTCTTACCTTTAGATTTCTATGGCCTCAACTCAGCAATAATAGGCATTCACAGAAGAATCAAAATAAACAAAATAAAATAATCAGCAGCCCCCAACGCTCCTGCACGAAAATCCTTTCAAACGATCCCGAGCAACATTTAGAGATGTTTAAAAATAATAATAATAATTTTTTAAAAGCCTCGCGTCTCGATTTCCAAATGGGTCTCTGACAACTTTGTCCGTCTCTAGGATCTGCTCTCCAGGACCACGCGTTTCGGATTTATTGTCCGCCAACAGTGTATTTTTAATACAAGAAATGAAGTCTTCTTTCGTCTGGGTGACCCGGGTTTGGTGTGTTTTGGCTTTTTCCCCCTTCCTAAATGAGCTCGGAGCTATTCCTTCTGGTTCACATCACCTCCCTCTTTTCTCACTTTCTCTTGCTCTTATCAGCCCGATGTGTAATGAAAGTTATCTGAAACCCACTAAAACTTCTACTTCTCCTTCCCAGTTCCAATGGGGGAAAACAAGCAGGAGGAGGAGAGTTTGAAAAGGTGGGGGGCCTGGGGAGGCGAGGGGAGCTCTATCCCCCTTTCAGATCCTCCGCAGCGCCTTCGCGGGTCCTGGACCCTCACGGGATCGTCCCCTTTCGCAACTCCAAGCTCAGCCGCCGGGTTTCTATTTCATGAACTGTCTCTTTAAAGAGGATCTGCTCGGCCATCCAGAAAGAACCCGGGGCGAGGGAGAAAGGGAGCTATCTCCCGCCGCCCAGAGTGATCTGATCGGAAGCCAGACGGGCTCCTCTTTTAAATTTTTAAAGTGACAGCAGCCTCCTCTGGCGGGAGAGGTCACAAAAAGGTCGCCAAGACCCAAGTCCTATAGGGACAGACTGATTATGGATGCACCATCCCCCTTAAACATGTAGATTTCTCCGGGTAAACAACCAATGGGGAGATCTCGCCAGGCAGGATTTCTTTCCCCAGGGAAATAGCCTCCGTTTCGATGTCTTGAAAGCACAAGTGTGGTGTGTGTGTGTGTGTGTGCGCGCGAGTGTGTGTGTGCATGTGTGTGTGTGAGAGAGAGAGAGATGGGGGATGGGAGGGATGGGGAAGGGTAGAGAAGTGCTTTCAGGGGTGTGAGGGTGTGTGCACCGAGGCAGGAGGGGGCGGGGGTAGGGGGGAGAGGTAGTGCTGGAGTGGGGAGGATAAAGCTTAGGGTATAGGGACGCTAGTTCAGACTAAATATAAATAGTTTAGAAATTCTCAGAAAACAGCAACCTCAAGAGTGAAAAGTTGACATGTACATTTCCAGTTTTCTGCTAAGCATTAAAAAAAATTTTTTTAATTGAAACTCATACTCTAATTTATTCCCTTCATTCTTGTAGCTAGGTCAGAGGAAGGGCGTGCAAAATTTTCAAACCATATTTTTCTTTAAAGATATTTTAAAATCTGAAAAATTATTGGCATATAACCCGCCCAAACAGCATATTATGGGTTTAGAGAGATTGATGACTGTCTGGTGAGTCTTTGCCATTTTCTTTGATACATTAATTAAAACACCTTGAACGCCAAAACGTGCAATAAGCAATTTGACGACTCAGATTATTTTTGAACGTTTAACATCATAAATGCTGCTTTTAGTAATCGGTACTATCCTATGTTTAATAACTTTCTAATATACCTTGGGTACATTTAAACCAATACATTGTAGAAAAGACATTGGAAGAAAGAATACAGGGGATACATAGCAAAACAAAAGGGTCTACAGATTTATTCATGGCCAACTTTGTAAGATTTAGTAAATCCCACTGGCTAAATGGAAGTAAACGCGTTTTTATCACAAAACTCCATTCATAAAAACAAATGGACAAAATCCAACTCCCCAGCTCAACAATGGAAAGTTAAGCAAAGTAAGCGAGTCTAGGGACACTTGCGGGGGAGAGGTGGGGCAAGAGGGGCTGGAAAGTGTGCTGACGGTTAAACTTTAGCTGCAAACGGGATAACACAAGTGCCACCCACTTTTTGTTTTCTCCAAGTGCAAATAAACGTGTAAATCCAGTAGAACTATATTTTCCCAAAATATTGATTTAAAAACAAAAATAGTAGCAAAAGGGAGGGATTGGGGGAGAGAAAATGACAAGAGGTGGTGACTAATTTGTTTCGGTGGCCTGTTATCTGTGACATTGAACTGTTATTTCAGATAATGGCCATTGTTTGAGAGAAAATCGCACAGCAGTGGTAGGTAGGACAGGAAAAATCCTTTGTAAATAACCTAAAACCCGGTCAGATATTCCCGTAGAGTTGGGCGCTTGAGAACCTTTAAGAGCTCCTGGTTCGTGGCCATTGATTTCCTGCCCTCCCTCAACTTGCCCATTGTCGGAGCTTTCTTTTTTTTTTTTTTTTTTTTAATTTAGCCATAAATTGGACCGGCTCGAGCTATGAGCTGTTCTATTTTCTTCCTGTCAGGATGAGGGATTTGTTTTATGATGCATTGTGTATTAAATACAAGTAATCTGGGGAACCGATTGCTTCAGACAGTGCGGCCTGATCAGGGGGTCTGGGAGCTCAGCGCCCCAACCCTGCGGCCCCCACCTCCTTGCCCTTTACAAAACTGCTTTCAAAACGAGGAAACGTCGGTAG
Organism: Homo sapiens; assembly: GCF_000001405.40. Taxonomy (NCBI): domain Eukaryota; kingdom Metazoa; phylum Chordata; class Mammalia; order Primates; family Hominidae; genus Homo; species Homo sapiens. The sequence goes on from NC_000003.12 coordinate 169,149,331, forward strand.
GAAAACAAAAGGTCGTCTGGAATCATTGGCAGGTCCTGGCTAAATTAGGATTTCGTGGAAAGGGCCTCCGAGTTTTTTCCCCTATATTGGCTTCGGGTGGGGGGAGGCGGAGCGACTTTCAAGGTCTGGATACTTGCAGGTACGGCAGGACGCCGGTAGATGGCATTGCGCTCCGAAATAAAGCGCAGCGCCGGCGGCTCCAGCCACCCAGGTGAACCCGCCTCTGCCCGCCAGGCGCCGGCAACACAGCTCTGCCTTCCGCCTCGCCCGCCGTTCCGCGTCCTTCCGAGCTACGAGAGGAAGGCACACTGCAGTCCAGGCATGTAGACATCAGCCTGAGAGAAGGCTATTCCTACGTCTGAGCTTCTCTTCCCCAAATACAACCAAGAGTGAACGCTTACCCTCCGAGACCTTGGAAGATGTACCTAGAAGAATGGAGAATTCATTGCATCATCATTATTATTATATTAATATCATCATTATCGTCATCATCAGTCTTGTTCTCCACTGAATAAATTGTGAAAAAGACTAAAGGAAATCATCAGAAGGACCTGGGCAAAGGAAGCTAACAAAACACTAAATCTTAATCTCTCTTTCTCTCTCTCTGTGTGTGTGTGTGTGTGTGTGTGTGTGTGTGTGTGTGTGTGTCTGTCTGTCTGTCTGTCTGTCTGTCTCTCCCTCCCCTCTCCCCCACCCCATCCCACTCCCTTTCTCCTTTAGGTATATAACAATAACTTCATGTAAAGGCAGAGTCATCTCACTTTTTCTTCACACAACTTAAAGTTTAAAGATAGGGTTCTGAAATCCCACAGTAGTTAGACTGGCCTTGTTTCTCATGAAAGGGTCTTCTTGCTATTTAAATAAGAATTATTTAGAAGACCTGATCCATCTTCCCCAATAAGTGAATGAAACAGGAAAGAAGGTTAGAGGAAAAGGATTTTGCAAGGGGCTTGCTTCTTCCCCTGTTAGCTTGCTTTCCATCAGAAGGTTTCTAAAACAATAAATAAATACAAGGAGCCAAATACCATCACCAATTCCCTTTATTCCTTGGGATTTCTGGTGAAATCTGTTTACAGTAGTTCCCAGTTACAAATTAATCTGCAAAAGCCGCTGTCTGCTCAGCAGTAATCAGTAACATGCGTGTTCTGCAGTGTTTAGCACTGCCCTTGAAATGGGCTATTAAAAATAATGGTTTTACTGTAATCTCAAACCAGCTTTAATTTGCAAACATGTATCAGGACAGATGATCTAAATATTAAGGGGATGGAGTAGGAGAACAAACTAAAACAAATGTATAGCTTCGGGGAAAGAAAAAAATGGAATGATTCATCAGTGATGTTTAAAAAGAGAACCAGATTTTAAAAACATTTTTCCAGAAGGAATGATTATTTTTTCTTTCTTGATCTGTTAATTGTTGTTTACCAGGAAAAGGGCATTGGAAAAATATGAGGGTTGAGTGTGGGCTGATAGATTTTCTAGGAGTTGTAAAGATCCCCCTTTGGCTGATGGCAGGGCTGGGGTGGGAGAGGTTAATGTGTTTTCTTCCTGGTTTGAAAAGGGCATAAACCCTCCTCAGGCCCCTTCCTTCCTTCCCCAGCTGTGTGGATTGCAGAATCTTTAAAAAGCCCAAAGATTTCCAATAAGGCCACTGGCTCTGCCTTCATTGTGTAACTGTTTATTTAAAATAAGTCAATATATTAGTTAAAGCAGTAAGAAGTTAGTGCTCCAGTATTCAAGTGATTCCCACAAGACTGTAAACTGATGCCTCTTTTAAGCCTTAAACTTCATGGTCGTCCCAGAAGTAAAAGTTCTGCTAATGGAGACCCTATGGGCATGGTACATTCCAGCACATCATTAAAGGAAAGAAAAGCAGTCCAGCCAAAGCCAGATGAAATGACTGCACTGTCCACTTTTAATAGGCTTCCTGTGGACAAACAGCACTGTAACACTCTGCAGAGGACAATATTTAAAAACAAGACAACTTGCTGGCAGTTTTCAATACCGTAAAGTTAATAAAGTATGTTCCCATTCACCCTGACATTATGTTTTTAGTTTATAGAGGAAGGCACTTTATAACCTCAGTCTAAATTCCCTTAATTCTGCAGCTTTGGGTTTCTTGAGGTGGCTAAATATACACTAAACTCCAAGCCTAACATCTTTGTTTTAACTCTATTTTTTTGTAGCTTTTCAAGAACGTACATGTGCATTTTTACATTTCTCAAGTGGAGTTTTATTCATGGAGATTCTGTTAAATCCTGTTTCATACAGTTCATGTCAAGAAGCATGAAATAATCTGAGAAATTGACATTTGGCTGAACAATAAGTGCCTGCTAATTAAATTAGCTTCGTGTATAGATATTGATGTGTGTTTAAAAAGAAAATCAATGCTTCCTTTTCCATGTCAGAATAGGATTTTGTAAAATCTTACCTAACCTAACTGACACAAAGATAAGAAATAATGTAAGTATGTCTTTTAGGACTCAAGAGACTTCCCACTGATTCATATATAAATATTTCTCCCAATTTGTCTTTCTCCTACTCCTCTAAATTCTCTACCACCCACAATTTCTTTTCCCAAATCTTTTTATTTAATAGAGTAAACTTTGTAATGAAGCATGACCTTTAGGCAAGATAAACTAGATCAGAAAGCCATGAAATCTAAGGTGATATTCTGTTTAATTTTAATAATTTCTGTTTTTTAATTTAATAAGTATTTTGCAAGCTTTGTTCTCTAAGCATGAATGTGAATTCTGTGATGCTTTGATCAGACAGATCCAGTGAAACAGTCCAGCACAATACAAATTTACCAACAAAAATGCTGTGACTGTCCGTAGCCCCACACACATATCACAACTGCACTGAAGAGAGATTACTGGTGACTCTTGGTGGACTCTGCCTTTTTTTATTTTTTTTAAATTATTATTTTTTTTATCTATTGGGGTGTGCTGTTAGAAAAGAGGAAATTAAAGATAAAACAAATTTAAATAAAAAATTTCCCTTGGTCTGGAAATGGGCCCGACTGAAAGCATGTTAATCTCCACCTCAGTAATTTGGTTCTCCAGGAGAAGACAGAAGCCCTGCTGCTGTGCCCTGCACTTCATAAATCACATCTTTATGTGGACAAGGTCAGGGCACCTAACAGCTCAGACATGGGCCTTTGCAGTGGCTCGAGGATTCAGGCATGTTTACTCTCCTATTCGGCTCTCCGAGGAGTAGTCCAGCACGCTTCTAATTACTTTTGATTATTTTCATTTGCTGGGGTCAGTCTGGCTTGCCAGGACTGCTGGAGGGTTGATTTCCTACAAATCTTGATGTCTTTGTAGGACGGCACTGTGTGCGTTCAGAATTAGCACCCCGTTATTGTCCCTACAGCATGGGATCCTTCATAAATAGACATGGTGATAACAAAAGTTTCCCCAGTGAACCATTACCTACTTCCTTTCTTATTAATTAACTATACAAGCATAATCACCTAGCTGATCTTTCTCCAAAATGCCAAAGATTTTAACAGTTTAATATTTTATAGTATATTTGGCCAGAATGAGAGCAGATTTCTTTTTTGCTTCTATTTTAAAATATATTTAGTAACAACTAGCAGCTCTTTGGAAACTAAGATGAAGTACTTTGCTGAAACAACCGCTCTGGTGAATAAATTATTATACTCAAAGTTTTATTTTTTAAACTCCAGTTAAGGTTGCCATATTTAAAATATTTTTTGCTGGACTATTTTGATGTGTTTCAGTCCTAAGCTATGATGCTGAGTGGTTAATGCACAGCAACAAATTTATACCAAGTTTAAATGAAAATATTATGATAAAATAAAAATGTTAATAAAATACTGTAAAACTTTGGTAGCAAAATAGAGACAATAGAGAAATATTTCCCAAAAGTAGGGATGTTTAACTCTTTGATGTGTATTTATTACAAGATATATTCAAGAAATAAATGATGAAAAAATAAATACAAAAACTGAGACAGTCACAAAAAATGCATAACATATCAATCTGGTTGTTCAGACAACTGGTTGTTTTATATCACTAGGAAAAATTTACTATTATCTTTTTATTTTATAAAAGATAACTTTGCTTACGATTATCATTAGTCTCAAAAGGTGAAATCCCTCATTCTTTTTAACTTCGGACTAAATTAGTGAGGTAGTAAGTGCTTTTGGAAAAAACCTCAACTCTATAAGGAATTCATTTTTCATTATTTTATTAATTTTAATTAATTCAATCTTTCAATATAGTATTTAGCACATTATGCAATAACTCCAGGATCAGATTCTTCCCTCGAGCTTTAGATACACCATCTAAGAGTGCTTTTAGACTCATAATCTTGTGGGGAAAGTTTGTTGGAAGCTTGATTTTCCTCCTCTCTCCACGCCTAGCTGTGTACCTTTGGGTAAGTCACTTAACCTTTGAGTTGGTTTCCATGACAGTTTCATAATATCAGACTATTACGAGTGTTGGGAAAATAAATTGGGTAACGTGAGTGTGAACTGCCCTGAGTTCATGGGAACAGGTCAAAATACTATAAGTTTCACAGTATTTGTGTTTGTGTAACGGGTTACAGTAAACTTACATACATGCACAATGAGGAAGATAGTCTGGCCTATACTTTGGGGAACAGCAAAGTGTAAGTAGTTTTGTTTCCTCTTTCTTCCATTCCAGTGTCAGTTGCCCTAATCCTTACCCTGACCTTGGAAGGGAAGAATTTTAAGAAAAGTGTTTTTTTTCTCTCAAGCTGTGCTACCCATGAAGATGTCCGTCTCTGTCTGGCTTGCAGCTGAGTTTGTTCTGTTCTACCCACTGTGTTCTCTGCCAGTCAGTAAGAGAGAGTATTCTGCAGCAAAGGTGGAATACCATTGAGTTCCAGAGCCCTAAAAACGAGGGTAGGAACACACACACACACATCTTGGACTAGTTTTAGGTCAATATTTGTTACCAAGGCCAGGAAATTTATTCTCTACAATGTCTCCTGGTAGACAGACTTTAAGTACCAAGAGGGCAGGAATTGGGTCTATCTTTTTTGCCCCTGTTGCCCAGAGTCTACCATAATGCATGACATCAAGTATTTAGTAGATGTTTGTTGAAAAAAAAATGGATCAGGTCCTTCCTTGACTTCCATTCTCACCTAGTTTGAATGCCTAATTTGGATGCCTGTTACCTCTAGTCTGAATTATTGCAATGATCTCCTGCCAGATCCTCTGACCACCATTCACTCTCCCACCAGTTTAAAGTCCTTGATGTTAATCCTCTCAACCATCTGCTGTTACTTATTCCCTTGCTCACAGTTTTTCAGTGAGTTCCGATTGCCTAACAATTCAGTATAAATTCATTCCATTTTTTTTGAGAATTCAATGAGGCAATGTAGGTAAATCACTTAGAATCATGAAGAGGATATAGGATATAGTCAATAGAAAATAGCTATTATTATTGGTATTGCTATTATAATTTTAATTGCTATCATTATTATTGCTCAGCCTATAATTTATTTTGCCTTGGTTATCATAGATAAAATCTTATCTATACTTCTAAACCAACCATTTTTTATGTCTGCTGATTTTTACCACCCAGGCTTGACCTTTCCATCCTTCAACCCAAATTATCTGTGCTTCTCTCCTGGTTTATAGCCAGTTCTTCCTTACTTACAGGTGTGTCTTTAATGCTCTTGTCCTCCTAAGGACCATTGTAAGATTTTTAAGGACGGAATCAAGTTTTGTTCCTACTGATATCTTCAATAACAGCTTTCCATCATAAACTAAACTGTCTTTGAGACTTTTTGTAAGAATAAATTAATTATGGCTAAATGTATGGGGAATTACTTTATTTACATCCAAGCAAAGTTGGTTACTTAACACTATTCCCCCTTAGGAATCAGTTGATGCAGTGATGATTCTTTTTCAGGGATTTAGAAAGGAATTCCTACCACTGCTGCCTCTCCAGATAGCACAATATTGCCATACTTGCCTTACCCCATGTTTCCATTTCTTTACCATCTCTCTCCTTTCTCTGGGCACAAATCCTGGACAGTATCTTGGACTCCTCTCCTTCCCTTGTCCCCAATAAATAGTCATTGGTTCAGTTGGTCTGTTAAACTGTTTCTACAGGGTGCTCATTTTCCCACTGGCACTGGTCTAGTGAAGGCTATTGTCCTTTTAGGCCTGAGTTTTTGTGGCATTTTTACACCAAACATTAGTCTTCCTAAAATAACAAAGTTATAACAATGCTTTGCTTTACCTAAAAACAAAAGGTAAAGAGCAAAAAACAGAAGAAAAACCGCACTAACAAAAACTCCAATGGATCCCAATTTGCTAGAAAATAAAGCCCCTAATCCAAAATGCAATCTCCTCTTTTACAATTTGATGTCAAATTTATCGTCTTTCTAGGCCCATTTCCTGCTTGTTTCCTCTACACAAATCTTTAGCACTGGTTAACAACTGGAAATATGAATAGAAGCTCTTGGCCCTTCAACTGTGCTGAGGTAGGTCCTTCACTTCTCTTACCTCTGACACTGACAGCGTTCAGGAGATGAAACAATAGATCAAGTAGGCAAAGTGATAGTTCCATTCATCAAGCTCCTGCAAAGCCTTCCAGGCCCTCTTTCTTGAAATTTTTACAGTATGTAATATTAAAAGCATTCACTAATTAGTCATTATTCTTAAAATAGTTTGGGATATTTCTGTGATCAGCCAATCTACCTGTATACTGTTTGATGGCAGGAAACATCCTTCACACCAGCATTTTCTAATTGGTTATTAGAAAAGTTATTATCAGATATTCCCTGGAAATTGGCTCTGAGGTCAACTCAGAGAGCTAACTTCACCCAATGGATAAAGATAGCTCCCTCTTGGAGCTTCACAATGAGCACCAATGTGCTAAATACACTTAAGTCTAAAACTCTAAAAGTCTAGGAAATCCTTTAGTAAAGAGACCTATTTGGCTTATTCGACCAGGCATCATCGTAGGTAATTAAACTTATGTGAAAGCCTCTCTCCTCTTCCACTGGAACACCTAAGGAAAACAATTTTGTAAATAAAGTTTTATATTACTTTGTTTCAGAAAAGCATAAATATTCCCCATACATATATTTTTCTATCAACTGACTGTTCTCAACTCTTGATAAAAAAAAGTCCCCACAAAACAGTCATAAATAAATAAAGACAAAATGAAGCTTCCACATTTTATTCAAATTGAAAGCATTTGGAAAGTCTATAAAGATCACAAAGAAAGTAGGTTATCAGTAAACTCTAGCCAATCGATCCTTTGCCTGTAAACTATTACAATTGTATTTGAGTACACGGCCTGAGAACCTTCCAAAGGAATATATACAATCTCATTTCAAGATCAACCCACTTCTTCCTATCCTCCTCCATTAAAAGTCCTTCCAAAGCAGAGATTTTTACCATGGGCATATTCACATGCAATGTTTTATATTATTTAGACTTTTCTTAATAAGATTTGGCATTATCTAGATATGCATTTCCCTAGGAGAAAGAAAAGCAGCAGTGCAATCTCCATCTAAGGATGCCTGAATTAAACCTTTAAGAATTCACCTTTTTTCCAGTTTTTGATATTAGATTCATGTGTTATGCCTGCCCATGACTGTCTAACCACGAAACTAACTGGACATTAAATCAGATGGCATACAAAATTACAGGAATTTGATCTTTAGATAAACCACAAACCTTGATGAACTAATGTTGTTCCAGATGAATTAACTCATCCTGAGAAACAGAACATTTCATAGGAGCGACCACACAGTCTTCTCTGCAAAGAACACTAATGGCTGTGATTAATTTGTGTTCTATTGAACGTGCTTGCTTCTATTGAAAGTACACCTAAAAAGGTGTATACTAAAGGAAGGAAGAAGGCTTAGTCAGGCAATTCTGGCCTCAGAATAATTGCCCCACCCCAAATCTCTGATGGTGGATGCTGCATATTACTTATACTTGGTTATGATGTCTGTTACAGCGTTAAGAAACAATGAATGTGTTAAGTCATTATCAATGATTTCATGAAACATTTATCCTTTCTCTACATTGGAAATCCTAAAATTTCATTTCACTATTTCAATGACTGTAGCCAAACACTTAAAAAATAAAGTAACAACACTACAGAGCCAGAAAAGTATGTTTAGTTTATAATCCATTTAGTGAGTGTCACATCTTATGATACATATCAAATGGTAAAATGTCAAAATATTCCAATAGCAATTAAAGTACCAATACAATCTCTATATCATTGTGAAAATATGGACATTGATTTCAACTGTAGCTTTGAAAATATCTTTCTGTAAATGTTGTTGAGTAAATTCTTCAACTTCAAATAAAATCTTAATATAGCCTGTCTATAGAATCCAGAATTAAGTACTGGTCAACTTCCAAGAAGCAGATTCTCAAAGGTATTTGTGTTTTCTATGTAGTTCTTGGCTGGAAAACAAATCCAAGTTTGCTAACACAGTGCCCTACAACTAGAAGGGGGGGATGCCAGAAGGGACATGAATGGAAATACTTAAAGAGGAAAGAAAAATATGCACCCTGATTCACACATAATTTCTCTCCACATATAATCTGGACTGCCAATTTATAAATAAACCATAGAGCTGGATCATGATGTGGAGAACATTGAAATGATGAGCCTAGGAAGGTGATTGAAATGACTACAGGTTTAACATTTTAAACTCATACTTTTGTCTAATATTACATTGTGCCTTATACAATTTTATATTCCTCCACCCCACATCCATTCTACAAGAGCTGGCGAGGTTCAAAATTTCTCAAAAAAAGTGTTGATTAATTAAATTTAAATGACTCACTAAGTGTTTTAGCTACGTAACTTTTAAAAAATGTGGTGGTGGTTGTCGTCCCTGGAGAAATTACCATAAAACTGTTTATCATTGTCCGTATATAATCTCCTTGGTAATCAGTGTTGGAAGATTTCAAGAAGGTCATTATAAAAGTCTTCATAAAATATATTTTGCTGAATTTTAATCTTGGAAAACACAGTGAAGTCACAACATATACACGTTCAAGACTTACAACTATTACAAACAGAGGGAAACGGAAGGCAGGGAGTATGGATGAGAGAGAAAGAGGGAGGGAGAATGAATGAGCCTTTACCCAGGAAAGAGCATGAGACGGAAACACGAATCATCTGTTTCCTCAAAAGGAATCAGTGTTCAAATGCCTTTTGTACTATGAGTATCGTGTTCCATCAAGTGTGACTCTCGGGTTTAAAGATGTGTATTTTTCACACCATGCATCCTCTGAATGCAAATATACCACTTCCTCTGGTGCTCGGCCGAAGCCACGGTGGTCCATTCCAACACTGGATGGTTCAAGAGCAGAGCTGAGCAGAGGAAAAATTTGATTATACTTGATTTTCAATTACCTGCTCACTGTAGAACCTAAGCTCTCAGTAAGATGTAAATTCACTGAATTTGGTTTCATTTATGAAAAATATTCCATTGCAATGACAAGATAAGTAATTGAGACAGTGTGTTTTTATGCGTAGTGGGGTGCAGACCAGCACTTCTCTAATTATTCTCGCCCCCAAAATTTTTTGTGTGTGGTCCAGGTGATAACCGAGGTTCATGGCTCTCATAATTCAACTCTCGAATCACCCGTACCTAGGAAGAAGTGCCAGTCATCTGTTTTCACAAACTTCCTGTCTCCCATGGCCTTTCACAGGGAAGGTGATGGGCTGAACATGGTAAACTGCCATAATGAGGTAGGAAGTTTTCTTCCTAGGGCCCAGTAAACTACAAGCTTCCTCTCAGCAAAAAGGAAAACACTTGGCCTCATGAGCAATCAGTTTCATCCACAGTTTCCTGCTAGACCATAGCCTTCTGATGTTACACCCTTGAGGGAGTCTGCTTCTAGTTATGTAATAGTGAGAAAGTTGCTTCAACTTCTTCAGCCTCTCTTTTAGTATCTCTAAAATTGCAGGCCAGGCATGTTCATGCCTGTAATCATTCCAGGACTCTGGGACGCCAAGGTGGGCAGATCACGAGGTCAGGAGTTTGAGACGAGCCTGACCAACATAGTGAAACCCTGTCTCTACTAAAAATACAAAAAATTAGCTGGGCATGGTGGTGGGCACCTGTAATCCCAGCTGCTTGGGAGGCTGAGGCAGGAGAATTGCTTGAACCCGGGAGGCAGAAGTTGCGGCGAGCCAAGATCACGCCACTGCATCCAGCCCGGGCAACAGTGCGAGATTCCGTCTCAAAAAAATAAATAAATAAAATTGCAATAATGGGACTTCTAAGAAGTTATTAGGGTTAAACAATTGAGGTGAAGTATATAAAGCACTTAGTGTAATATCTGGTAAATAGAGACTCATAAAGAAGTACAGTACTTGGAGAGATAGCATAAATCCAAATAAAAATTTTAAAAAAGAAGTTTAGGATAGTGACTAACAACACAGAATCTGCAGTGGGGCAGCCTGGATTCAAATCACAGCTTCGCTATGTGCTTGGGGTGTGACATATGTAAAGTTACTTATCAGCTTGGTTTCCTCCTTTGTAAAATGAGTATAATGATAAAAAGTATCTCATAGGGCTATTGAGAGGATGAAATGAGGTAATCCATGCACAGCACTTAATTTAGTGTCTAGCACATACTAAGCACCTAATAAGCATGAGCTATTTTTAAATGGAGTTCTAACTCAATAAAATCGTTGGTACTTCCTATGCAAATGCCCTCTGTGGTTTTTTTTGTTGGTGGTGGATTTTTATATAGCCATCTTTATATCAAAAGAGAAACAAATATTTTGTCCCTTTAATTTAT